>NT_187676.1:0-187935 GCF_000001405.40 Homo sapiens
AAAAAAAAAAGTTCTAAAAGTTGTGACTTGGGTGTGGCAGATTGTGACATACTGCCAGCTGCTAGAAATGCTGGGGCAGGAGGATTGCTTGAACTCTGAAGTCAAAGAACAGCCTGGGGAAAATAGCACATGAAGAAGAGTTTGAATCTCAGATAAAAACAACAAAAATACATCAAAAGTCTTTAATGTAAGCCAAGCATTCAGTCATCTCCTGTATGAGAGATTGGATCTGAGACGTGTTTTGAGTTGGTTATAGTGAAGGATGCAAGGTGTCAATTCTAGTTGGAACAATTTCCAGGAAGCCATGTTCTGCTCTTGACCAAACAGCCACTGGGCCTCATGCAAGGTAGAAATAGCCTGCATACGTCATCCTCCCATGATGTGGTCAGCATGTAAACTGCATGAGCCCCTCACAACATCCTGTGTGCTGCTGAACTGAGCTGGGGCGCAGCCGCCTGTCTGCACCGGCAGCACCATGTCGCTCATGGTCGTCAGCATGGCGTGTGTTGGTGAGTCCTGGAAGGGAATCGAGGGAGGGAGCGGTGGGGTGGAGATCTGGGCCTGGAGTGGAGATATGGGCCTGGAGTGGAGATATGGGCCTGGAGTGGAGATATAGGCCTGGAGTGGAGATATGGGCCTGGGGTGGAGATATGGGCCTGGAGTGGAGATATGGGCCTGGAACTGTAGATATGGGCCTGAAGTAGAGATATGGGCCTGGAGTAGAGATATGGGCCTGGAACTGTAGATATGGGCCTGGAGTGGAGATATTGGCTTGGAGTGCAGATATGGACCTGGAATTGAGATACGGGCCTGGAGGTGGAGATATGGGCCTAGAGTGGAGATATGGGCCTGGAGGTGGAGATATGGGCCTGGAACTGTAGATATGGGCCTGGAGTAGAGATATGGGCCTGGAGTGGAGATGTTGGCTTGGAGTGCAGATATGGGCCTGGAATGGAGACACGGGCCTGGAGGTGGAGATACAGGCCTGGAGGTGGAGATATGGGCCTGGAGTGTAGATATGGGCCTGGAGTAGAGATATAGGACAGAGGTGGAGATATAGGCCTGGAGTGGAGATATGGGCCTGGAGTAGAGATATAGGACGGAGGTGGAGATATGGGCCTGGAGTGGAGATATGGGCCTGGAGGTGATGTACAGATGGATCATCCATCATGATCTTTCTTTCCAGGGTTCTTCTTGCTGGAGGGGCCCTGGCCACATGTGGGTGAGTCCTTCCCCCAAACCTTAGGTTGTCATCTCCCCACATAAGATGATGTTCCTGAAACGGGAGGCAGGCGACACAGGGGGTTGACTGATGGGCTGACCATGGGAAGCCATGTGGGAATCTCTCATGAACTAGGAAAAGGAAGCCAGGGGAAGCTTCGCCACAGTTCTGTCCTAGCCCTCCCCGGCCTTTCTTTCCCTTGGCTGAGTCTGTGGGGACCCAGGGGGAGACTGAAGTGCTCAAAGGAGTGGTGTGCAGGGAGGAAGTGGTGTCACCGGCAGAGGAAGGGAGAGAAGCAGTGCAAGGAACAACAGGCCTCTGAGGACAAGAGCATAACTCACACCCTCCAGCGTTTCCATGACGGTAGGGGCTGCAATGTGGCTGCTGTCATTCTACCTAAGAGGTGGGGGAACCACAGTCATGACCCTGACATTCCAGATCTTCTAATAGGGGCTCAGTTGTTTATTATGGTTCATGCATTAGCTGATCATGCCCTCCATCCTGTGTCTACCTTGTGTTCTTTTATGTAAGTAATTTTGCAGTGTTAAAATCTAGTAAGAGTCGCTTCTTCAGCACCTGCTCAAAGTTCTCAGCTGACACTTGCTGTAGGGAGACGCCATGTCTATGCGGGATGGGTCCTTCCTGTAGCCCTGGGCACCCAGGTGTGGTAGGAGCCTTAGAAACGTGGAAATGGGAGAATCTTCTGAGCACAGGGAGGGAGGGGCGGCTCCACATCCTCCTCTCTAAGGTAGTGCCTCCTTCTCCCCCAGGTGGTCAGGACAAGCCCTTCCTCTCTGCCTGGCCCGGCACTGTGGTGTCTGAAGGACAACATGTGACTCTTCAGTGTCGCTCTCGTCTTGGGTTTAACGAATTCAGTCTGTCCAAAGAAGACGGGATGCCTGTCCCTGAGCTCTACAACAGAATATTCCGGAACAGCTTTCTCATGGGCCCTGTGACCCCAGCACATGCAGGGACCTACAGATGTTGCAGTTCACACCCACACTCCCCCACTGGGTGGTCGGCACCCAGCAACCCTGTGGTGATCATGGTCACAGGTCAGAGGCTTTCTGTCTGGGCTTCTCACTGTCCCACCTCCTGAATCCCAGAGCTTCTGGTGGGGGTGTCCATCAGGGTCCAATCATCCAGGCCCAGACTGTATTTGGGGTAAAGGGGGATTCAGTACAGAGAAATAGTTGCTGTGGTGGGAAGAATAATTGTCCCCAGTGATGGCTACATGGTAATCCATGAACCCTGTGACTATTTATGTCATAGGGCAGGGGACTGAAGGGGAAGATGGAGCTCAGGTTGTTGATGGGTTGACCTTGCGATGGGGAGACAGCCTGGACTGTCCTGCTGTGCTCAGAGTAATCACAAGGGTCCTCATGAGAGGAGGAGGAAGAGGAAAGTGGGGTTAGAGCAACGTCGTGGGAGGGAGACTCCATCAGCCACAGCGGGCTTTGAAGATGGGGGAAGGCCATGAGCCACAAAGGCAGTTGGCCTCTAAGGGCTGGAGAAGTCAAGGGAACTGATTCTTCCCTGAGTCTCCAGAGGAAACACAGCCCTGTAGATGCCTTGATTTTAGCCCAGAGAGAACTGGGTCCGATTTCTGTTCTCCAGAAGTGGAAGGGGTCATTGTATTCTCTCCTGCCCCATGTTTGTGACAATTTTCTCCAGCAGCAACAGGAAACCAACACAGGAACCCAGGTGAAGCACAAGTTAAGAAACCAAACAAGGAGAAGGTTGGCTACACTGATTTTAGCATGGGTGGGATACTGATGCTACCACCAGGCTCGATCCACATAGGGAGGGGTTGATGCTCCTGGAACCAGCACCAGGGGCCACCCTATGGAAGCTGGGGCCATGGAGAAGGCACAGACATGACAGGAGAGGCTCCCAATCCCCATCAGGAACAGGGACACTGATGCCTGCCTTACTGATGAGTTCGTACCTCCTGCCAGCCTTTCCAATCTGTCCAAAAGAGATTGATTCAGGCTGCTAAGAGCCTGGACATGCAGCCTGTCGTGGTTCCTCTTCCACCCCCACATAAACACCAGGAAAGAGATTAGTGGGAAACAGATACAACAGCATAAGAGGTGACACTGAGCACAGTGGGAAGGGAATCAGGGCTACTAGAGACAGAGAGACAGGGAAGAGGGAGGGAGACAGATGGAGGGACCTGCAACAGGGGTTATGGGCACAAAAGAACACGGAGACACAGAGAGGAAGGAGAGAGATAGACACCATGGAGGGGAAGCCTCACTTATTTCAGGTCCCATGAATGGGATGAGAAAGGGAGACGCCTTCTGAACTCACAACCTCTCTTCTTAGGAGTCCACAGAAAACCTTCCCTCCTGGCCCACCCAGGTCCCCTGGTGAAATCGGGAGAGACGGTCATCCTGCAATGTTGGTCAGATGTCAGGTTTGAGCGCTTCCTTCTGCACAGAGAGGGGATCACTGAGGACCCCTTGCGCCTCATTGGACAGCTCCACGATGCGGGTTCCCAGGTCAACTATTCCATGGGTCCCATGACACCTGCCCTTGCAGGGACCTACAGATGCTTTGGTTCTGTCACTCACTTACCCTATGAGTTGTCGGCTCCCAGTGACCCTCTGGACATCGTGGTCGTAGGTGAGAGAATACAGACCTGCCTCTCACCCTTGCTGGGAGATGGAGTGAATGATCTAGGACTGGAAGCCCCAGGTGGTCATGAGGAAGATGAGTGTGGGGTTCCTATGGAGAGAAAGTGACTTGGTGAGGTCTGTACCAACAAAGGCAGAGAAACAGGAGACACAAGTACAGACCTCATGTCATAACATAGAAGCCAGACACAGGGGCCATACAAGGTGTTAGAAAAAGAGATAAAGAGGTAAAGAAGACACAGAGAGACAGATATATCCCAGAGAGAGGTGTCCTTCTATGCTGACTTTGTTCAGAGACCAGGCACAGGTTAGAAGGTTCCATTCTGTTTTACCTCTACAAAGTGTTCTCTCCCAGGAGAACCCAAAGAGACACATCTATCTGGCCTGAGTTGGGCCGTGTGGCCCCAGGCTGGTGGCACCTACAGATGCTGTGTTTATTCTTAAACCTCTGCCTTCCGTGCAGTGGAGCTGTCGTCGTCGCAGGACACCATGGCCCCAGGTGAGGGAGCAGAACACCAACCCCTGTATGTTGTGAGTTCCTGGAGTCCCCATACTGGATTCTGAGGCTCATATTCAAATAGCACCACATGTTATAGGATTACTGAGAACAAAAGCCCACAGAGAGACACGGAGTGAAATCAGGGAAATCAAAAAGCAAAGACATGAACACACACACAGAATGAGCCAGAAGAAGGGAATTGAGAGACTCACAGACACATAAAGAGATAGAAAAAGAGGGCAGAGAAGTGGAGCGTATGATGGAAGGAAGCAGAGAAAAGCCCTAAAATCAGAGCCCTGAGGGAGGGGCACAAAGACAGGGAAAGATAAAGATGTGGGGATGGATTGCAGAGACTCCAAAAGGGAACTAGAGAGACTGAGAGGCAGAGAAAGACAAGGAGATGGAGAGAGACAGATGATAGATGGATAGATAGATATAGATAGATGAAAGATAAAAGGTAGATGATAGATAATAGAGAGACAGGTGATAGACAAATAGATGATGAATGACTGATAGATGATATAGATAGACAAGTAGAAAGACAGACAGATGATATATAAATAGATATAGAGAGATAGAAAGATAAACACATGATGATAGATGGATAGATGCATACATACATACATTGATTGATAGATGATAGATAACAGAGAGATAGGTCATAGATACACAGATGATGATAGATGATAGATACATACATAGATAAATGATAGATCGATCAATAGATAGTAGATAGAAATATGCAGAAAGTTATGAGCAAGACAGAAAGTGAGAGACTCAGAATTAAAGAAAGAGGAAGATCAAGTCAACCAGTCCAAGGAGGGTCAGAGAGAATAAAATGGTACAAAAAAAGAAAACATAGCTAGGGATGGAGAAGTGAGGTCAGAGACCTAGAGAGACAGAGAAGGTGGAAGGAGGAAATAGACATGAAGAGAGATGGGGGTGGAGGGTGAGAGAGAGAAAGAGAGCATTAAGTCATAGAGCAGGGGAGTGAGTTCTCAGCTCAGGTGTGAGGAGAGCTGTGACAACGAAGAACCTCCCTGAGGAAACCACCTCTTCTCCTTCCAGGTCTATATGGGAAACCTTCTCTCTCAGCCCAGCCGGGCCCCACGGTTCAGGCAGGAGAGAATGTGACCTTGTCCTGCAGCTCCCGGAGCTTGTTTGACATTTACCATCTATCCAGGGAGGCAGAGGCCGGTGAACTTAGGCTCACTGCGGTGCTGAGGGTCAATGGAACATTCCAGGCCAACTTCCCTCTGGGCCCTGTGACCCACGGAGGGAACTACAGATGCTTCGGCTCTTTCCGTGCCCTGCCCCACGCGTGGTCAGACCCGAGTGACCCACTGCCCGTTTCTGTCACAGGTGAGAAAACACCATGCCTGTCCCATGTCTTGTGATCCTAGAGCCATAGCTGAGGAGCTTCCTGCTGATGATGGAGAGAAGCATGGACAGATGCCGAGACAGAACACACAGCATGGGTGTAAGGGCGGGGTCAGGGGGCAGGATGGCAGACAGGGCACCTCCAAACCCTCCTGTATGGCCTGCAAGGAGGCCCTTGATCAGGGTTCCAGGCACCCAGGCAGATGGAGAAAGAGGTCAGAACAGACCCAGAGGAGGGAGACTGGGCTCTGCCTGGGGAGATCAGAGGTTCTCTCAGCCCCTCAACCTTACCCACTTCCCAGAAGCCCATCCTGGCCTGTCACCCACAGAGAGATGTCATCACCAGCAACGCCTACACCCTTTTCTTTTTGTTTGAAGAAATATTTATTGAGGTGAAATATACCTATGTAATTTACCACCTTTACCATTTTTAAGTGTGAAGTCTACTGTTCATAAATACATTTATAGGCTGGGCACGGTGGCTCACTGTTGTAATCCCAACACTTTGAGAGGCCAAGGCAGGTGGATCATTTGAGATCAGGGGCTCAAGACCACCCTGGCCAACATGGGGAAAATCCATCTGTACTAAAAATACAAAATAATAATAATAATGATAATAATTAGCCGAGCATGGTGGCACATGCCTGTAGTCCCAGCTACTTGGGAGGGTTGGGCAGGAGTTGCACTTAATTGCAGGAGGCGGAGGTTGCAGTGAGCTGAGATCATGCCACTGCACTGCAGCCTGGGCAACAGAGAGAGACACTCTCTCAAAATTAATTAATTAATTAATTAGTATTCTTTTTTTTTTACCCTCCACCCTTCCCTTCCTGGCCTCTGGTAGCCACCATTCTACTCTCTACCTTTGTGAGATCCACCTTTTAGCTCCTGCATATGAGTGAGAAATGGAAATACTTGTAATGACCTCCAGTTCCATTCATGTGGCTGTAAATGACAGGATGTTACTCTTTCTATGGATGAGTTGTCCCTATTGTGTGTGTGTACCACATTCTCTCCATCCATTCACCCACTGATGGGCAGGTAGGTTGATCCACATCTTGGCTACTGTGAACACTGCTGGAACAGTCATGGGAGTGCAGATGTCACTTCGATACGCTGATGTCCTTTCCTTTGGGTTTACACCCAGTCATGGAATTGCTAGATCCTCTGGAAGTGTCTTTTTACATTTTGTTTTATGGTTTTTGTTTTTGTTTTTGTTTTTTTTAGACAGTTTCACTCTTGTTGCCCAGGCTGGAGTGCAGTGGTGCCATCTGGGCTCACTGCAACCTCCACCTCCAGGATTCAAGAGATTCCCCAGCCTCAGCCTCCCAAGTAGCTGGGTTACTGGCTCCCACCACCACACTCGGCTAATTTTTATATTTTTAGTAGAGACAGAGTTTCGCTATATTGGCCAGGCTGCTCTTCAACTCCTGACCTCAAGTGACCTACCCACCTCGGCCTCCCAATGTGCTGGGATTACAGGCATGAACCACTGTGCCCGACCTCATTTTATTTTTTGAGGAACTTCCATACTCTTCTCCTCTGTAATGGCTGTACTAATTTGCATTCGTATCAGCAGTGTACCAGATGCAACCCTGGTTGACTCAGCAGAGCAAGAGACGTGCAGTAAGAGAGAATTTAGCTTATTTATGCACACGACACTTCCACTCACTCACTCGTTCAGCCAATGCCCCATGCTCTGGCTGTGCAGTGTGGAATCTTTTCCTATTGTTGCCATAACAAATTTCCACAAGCTTCGTGGATGAAAACATGTTTTTCTTAATTATCTCACAGTGCTGTAACTCAGAAGTATGAACTGCATTTCACTGGGCTGATATCAAAGGGACAGTAAGGCTGGATTTCTTTTTAAGGTTCCAAGCAAGAATCTGCTCCTTAACGTTTCCCAGCTCCTAGAGGCTCCCACGTTCCTGGGCCCCTGGTCCCCTTCCTCCTTCCTCCTTCCTCAAAGCCCACAAAGGCTGGTCACGTCTCACATGGCATCATTCAGACTCTTCTTCTTTACCCATACCTTTTTCTCTGAATCCTGCTCTGCCTTCTTCCTCATCTTTTAAGGACTTTGGGATTCTATTGGGGTCACCAAGATAATCCATCTCAATCTCCCTAAAATCATCCAGCGTACCCTCTTTTTAAGTTCAGCTGATTAGCAACCGTAATGCCATCTGCAATCTTCATTCCTCCTTTCCTGTAAAATAACATATTCACAAGCTATGGAGGCTAAGACAGGGACATTTTGGGGGTGGGGCAGCATTCTCCTGCCTTCCACAAATGGTAAACAGGATGCATTTGGCCTCTGCTCTTGGGACGCTGATATTGCAGATGGGTAAATGCGAGGGCAGAGAATGAATGCACAAGGGTACCAATAAATGAATGATCCATTGGGAAGCATCTGTGCACCAAATCTGGGGTTTTTTGTGTGTGTGTGTGTTTTTTGTTTTCTTTTTTTTTTTTGAGTAGAGTCTCTCTCTGTTCCACAGGCTGGAGTGCAGTAGCACAATCTCAGCTCATTGCAACCTCTGCCTCCTGGGTTCATGCAATTCTCCTGCCTCAGCCTACCGAGTAGCTGGGATTACAGCTGTGCGCCACCACACTCGGCTAATTTTTTTGGTATATTTTTTAGTAGAAATGAGGTTTCACCATGTTGTGCAGGCTGTCTCAAACTCCCAATCTCAAGTGATCCCACCGCCTTAGCGTCCCTAAGTGCAAAGATTACAGGCGAGAGCTACTGCGCCCAGCCAGGATTTAAAATAAGTAATAGATAATGCTGAGTATATAATTTCAGGTGACAGAGAAGGTCTCACTGATCAGATAATATTTGTGACCTTAATGGAAAAAATGGATTCAACCCTTGGAAGATTGGCGGAAGGATTTTCCACACTGAGCTCTCAGCCGTGAAGGCACAAAGGTGGAAACATTCTTAGTTCAAGGAAGAGGCTCTGCCTCAAATGCTGGGAATGAGATGGGGAGAATGACAAGACAACTGTAGAGAGATGGAGAGCACACTGGGTACACAGGAAACTAAGGAGGAACAAGGAGCATGTTTTTGATACTCACAGCCCTTGGATTCAACTCAGAGCTAACTAGGAATCCCTACCTGATTAACAGTGACCGACATGAAAATAAGGGAGGCCCAGGTGCGTAACTGGAATCTAGGAGACCGTGGAAAAGGCAATTCCCGCCCCACTGGTGAAACGTAGGGTTGATTTACACACTAAATGAATGAAAGATGGATATAAGCTATGCTTGTGAGGTAGAATCATTTGCAGGGAGGGCTTGCTGGGTTTGATTTTTCCTAGTAGTTTAATCCTTGTTTCATTAATTTCTTTCTGAGATGTGTTTTTTTTCTACATCTAAATCAATACCTGGCAGAGGAGCGATAGACACATGAGGGGTGGTGCAAATGAAGGGACCTAGTATAATATAATATACAAGACTGTGGATGGGGGCTCACACCTGTAACCCAACACTTTGGGAGGCCAAGGCGGGTAGATCACTTAAGGGTAGGAGTTTGAGACCAGCCTGGCCAACATGGTGAAACCCCGTCTGTACTAAAAATACAAAAATTAGCCTGGTGCATTGGCACCTGCCTGTAATCCCAGCGACTGGGGAGGCTGAAGCAGAAGAATGGCTTCAACCCTGGAGGCAGAGGTTGAACTGAGATCGCATCACTGCACTCCAGCCTGACACAGGGGGACTCTGTCTCAAAAAATAAAAATAAAACATACATAATTATGACACACAGAAATTACAAAGGCAACTGGATACCAACCATCATTTTTCTATTTCTCTGTGTTTAATTCTTTGACCCTTTATCTTATCCATTAAACAATCAGGTTAAACCTCTTCCTTATTTGGCTTTCTGTGAGCTTGGGATCATATGGAAAATGTGAAAGCCTCCTGAACCCACCAGCACAGGTCCTGGAATAGAGAACGTGCTCTGTTCATGGCATAAAACTTGCCCCTTCACCCAAATCCCCCAATTCATCTCTACTTCCAATCACCTATGGAGATACAGATAGATCATGGGGAGGTAAACACTAATACTCTTTGGAGTGAGCTCAGATCTTGGACTCAGAGACCAGTGCCAGCACTAGCCCCTGGTCACATTTCGTACTAACTCACAGAAGGACAGGCTGTATTGAAACAATAAACGACGGAGAGGGCGGTCCTTCCCCGTGCTTCTCGGGTGGAATAGCAGCCTAATATATGTCTCAGCAGATCACAAAAAGTAGCATGTTGTTCCTGGGCTACATCATTATTTCATGGCTGTTTGATTTAAGTCAGTTCTACTTCACTTTTTTTATCTTGATTTCATTTTTTCTTTCTTTTCTTGGAGAATGTAATTTTTTTTGAGTCAAGAGGGTTGTGGTGGTAGAAACTGTAAAGCACATTCGCTGTGTATCAATCCCAATCCAGTCTTCCCAGAGAAGATTCTAAACACCTCCTGGAATGCACCTGGGCCTATACCAATTCCTATCACTCACCGTCACTCCAGGGAGACAGAACACACAGAGAACACATTACACAGGCAGGTTCATTACTAACAGATAAGCAGCGAGTGACAACAGAAACCTACATTTCAATGTGAGCCAGTCCCTCAAGGCTCAGAAAAGCTGCTCGAGACATGTGGAGTCACCCCATATGCAGTGTATCTGGGGGAAATCAAAAAGCAGCCCAGCCTGGGTTTTGTACCCTGGAGCCACAGGAAGCACTCAGCTAAAGCACTGCATGACGTCCTCCTCCAGGAAGAACAGGAAGACAGCCCAGGCTGTTCTGGGATGTTCCTCCTGATCTCAGGACGTTGCTGTCTTAGTCCATTTTTGTTGCTCTAAAGGAACACTTGAGCCTGGGTAACTTCTAAAGAAAAGAAATGTGTTTGCCTCACAGTTCTGCAGGCTGTACTGGAAGCATGGCACCAGCATCTATTTCTTGTGACGGCCTCAGGCTGCTCCCACTCTGGCAGAAGGGAAGGAGGGTCTGTCTGTGCAGAGACCACAGAGATCACACGGCAAGAGAGGGACCAAGGGGGAGGGGGAGCGATGGAGCTTCCAAGCTCTTTTAACAACCAGTTCTCCAGGAACTAATAGAGGGGGAACTTGCTAACCCCGTCTCCTTGGAACAGCATTGATCTGTTCATGATGGATCCACCTCCATGACCCAAACAACTCCCAAGAGGCCCAACCTCCCACCCTGGGGGTTACATTTCAATGTGAGGTTTGAAGGGGTCAAACATCTAAACTAAAGCAGTTGTATCCTCAGCACGTTCTATGGTTACTACAACTGAGAAAGCAGGAGGAAGCTAGGTCTCCCGCCATCTGGGTGCTTGTCCTAAAGAGACGTTGTATGTGGTTACCTGTCAATCAAGAAATGTGAGACAATTCATATAGAGGAACTGCTATGATTAGCTTCTTATTGGTGTCTTGTCTTCCTCCAGGTAACTCCAGACACCTGCACGTTCTGATTGGGACCTCAGTGGTCATCATCCCCTTTGCTATCCTCCTCTTCTTTCTCCTTCATCGCTGGTGTGCCAACAAAAAGAGTAAGTCTCACGAAGCAGAAGCCAGAGAGCTCAGGGCCATGTGGGGAAGCAGGATGGGAGCACTCAGGTGTGTGTTCCTCACAGGCAGGATGGTCCCTGGCCCAAGGCAGGAGCCACAGAGGCAGGACTTTCTAGAGAGAGCACCAGACTCCCTGCCTCTGCCTTCAGCTCACAGACCATTGCCTGATTCTGAACCGTATCCTCACATCCCCTGCAGCCACTCACATCCAGGAGAAGGTTCCATGACAGGCAGAAAGTGGGACACAGAATCAATAGGATGGGAACTCAGAGCTATACATGGGATGGATCCTTGAGCTCAGAGAGATAGAATGTCTGAGTCTGCTGTTGGCAACTGAGGGACCTCAGGCACCTATGGCCTCCCCCTGTATGTTGGTATCTGCTTATGAAATGAGGACCCAGAAGTGCCCTCCGAGCTGTTTTGACGACTTCCGTCTTCTACAGATGCTGTTGTAATGGACCAAGAGCCTGCAGGGAACAGAACAGTGAACAGGGAGGTAGGTGCTCCTCCGCCCAGCCTCGTGGCTAGTCTTATTCCCAAAGAGTCCTGGAAAATGTGAGCACCCTCCCTCACTCAGCATTTCCCTCCCTCCAGGACTCTGATGAACAAGACCCTCAGGAGGTGACATACGCACAGTTGAATCACTGCGTTTTCACACAGAGAAAAATCACTCGCCCTTCTCAGAGGCCCAAGACACCCCCAACAGATACCAGCGTGTAACACGGAACTTCCAAATGCTGAGCGCAGATCCAAAGTTGTCTTCTGTCCACTAGCACCACAGTCAGGCCTTGATGGGATCTTCTAGGGAGACAATAGCCCTGTCTCAAAACCGGGTTGCCAGCTCCCATGTACCAGCAGCTGGACTCTGAAGGCGTGAGTCTGCATCTTAGGGCATCGCTCTTCCTCACACCACGAATCTGAACATGCCTCTCTCTTGCTTACAAATGTCTAAGGTCCCCACTGCCTGCTGGAGAGAAAACACACTTGCTTAGCCCACAATTCTCCATTTCACTTGACCCCTGCCCACCTCTCCAACCTAACTGGCTTACTTCCTAGTCTACTTGAGGCTGCGATCACACTGAGGAACTCACAATTCCAAACATATAAGAGGCTCCCTCTTAACACGGCACTTAGATACGTGCTATTCCACCTTTCCTCAGAGTATCTTTCAGCCTTCTGTCAGCAGTAAAACTTATAAATTTTTTTTATAATTTCAATGTAGTTTTCTCTTCTTCAAGTAAACATGTCTGCCCTCATGGTTTCGTCAATGGGACTCTTTTCTTGCCTAAGGCTTCCGGTGTTATCATTACCACGTCCACATAACCCCATCTGTTCTCCGCTGGGTTCTCACCCCTGGACTCTGAGCTTCTGGAAGCAGGGTGGAGCCTGAATTGTCTCTGAGACTCCAATTTCCATCCAAAGATGCAGCACATAGGAGGTTCCAAGGATGGTGAATCAGATGAACAAGTGATATTCTTACTCTCTGCAGATCTGGAAAGCTGGCAGAGTCATTCCACGATGAAACATTTGTAGAGTCATAGGCCTTGTTAGTCTCATCTCCACAGGGACACGTATCAACACATCATCTTTCATACTACTATAAATAGACAGTCACTCCTCCATATCTCTGGGGTTTACACATGTTTATTGAATCAGCAATAAATCAAAAATATTTTGAGAAAAAAAATCCCCGAAGTTTCAAAAAGCAAAAAACTATGTTGAATCGACACAAATTGAGTGGCGTGTAGGCTGTGTCAGGAATTATAAGTAATCAAGAGATGATTTCATGTATACAGGAGGATGTGCATGGGTTCTATGCAATTGCTATGCTATTTTTTTTTTTTTTGAGACAGTCTCACTCTCTCACCCAGGCTGGAGTGCAGTGGCGTGATCTCAACTCACTGCAACCTCCGCCTTCCAGGTTCAAGCGATTCTCTTCCCTCAGCCTCCCCAGTAGCCTCCCCTAGGATTACAGGCACGTGCCACCCTGCACAGATAAATTTTTTTGTGTGTATATTTTTAGTAGAGATGGGGTTTCAGAATGTTGGACCAGCTGGTCTTGAACTCCTGACCTTGTGATCTACCCAGCTCAGCCTCCCAAAGTGCTGGGATTACAGGCGTGAGCCACGGTGCCCAGCTTCACTATGCCATTTCATGCAAGGGGCTTGAGCATCTGCAGATTTTGGTATCTGAATGGGGATCCTGGAACCAATCACCCAGGTATAGTGAAGGACCATGGTATATAATTTTTATTTGTCAATCTTAAAAATAAAGCATAAAAAATTTACAACAACAAGATAAAAAATAAGAAGTGTTTTTATAGTGTGAGGATAAGTTTAGATTTATTTTTTCCTACGTGTAACCCTATGGTCCTGTGTTATTTGTTGAGAAAATATTCTATTCCACCTTAAACTACATGGCAGCCTTTGTCAACTATAAAGGGACTGTGTATCCACAGATGTATTTTAGACACAGTTTTCTGTCCAGTGGTTCTCTGTATCCCCTCTCATGAGGATGCTGCATTTTATATAAACTTATAGAACCCCTTAAAATTTGGTAACCTGAGTCCTCTGATTTGTTATTATAGGTTATTTAGTTTGCTTTTTTTTTTTTTCTTGAGACAGACTCTTCCTCTGTCACCCAAGCTGGAGTTCAGTGGCTTGAGCTCAGCTCACTGCAACCTCCGTCTCCCAGGTTCAAGCTATTCTGATGCCTCTGGTTTAGTAGTAGAAACTCAAGCAGGAAAATTAGAATGGCTTCTTGTCACAATTACTCTGATAATGTTAATAATACCTGTTAGACATTTTGCACATTACATATGAAGAAGAGTTTGAATCTCAGATAAAAACAAAAATACATCAAAAATCTTTAATGTAAGCACAGAATTCAATCATCTCGTGTATGAGAGGTTGGATCTGAGACGTCTTTTGAGTCTGGTCGTAGTGAAGGACGCAAGGTGTCAATTCTAGTGAGAACAATTTCCAGGAAGCCATGTTCCGCTCTTGAGCGAGCACCCACTGGGCCTCATGCAAGGTAGAAAGAGCCTGCGTACGTCACCCTCCCATGATGTGGTCAACATGTAAACTGCATGGGCAGGGCGCCAAATAACATCCTGTGCGCTGCTGAGCTGAGCTGGGGCGCGGCCGCCTGTCTGCACAGACAGCACCATGTCGCTCATGGTCGTCAGCATGGTGTGTGTTGGTGAGTCCTGGAAGGGCATCGAGGGAGGGAGTGCGGGGATGGAGATCGGGGCCCAGAGTTGGAGATATAGGCCTGGAAGTGGAGTTATGGGCCTAGAGATGGAGTGATGGGCCTAGAAGTGGAGATCTGGGCCTGGAGTGGAGATCTGGGCCTGGAGTGGAGATATGGGCCTGGAGGTTGAGATATGGGCCTGCAGTAGAGATATGGGCTTGTAGTGGAGACATGGGCCTGGAGATGGAGATATGGGCCTGGAGATGGAGATATGGGCCTGCAGTAGAGATAGGGGCCTGGAGTGGAGATATGGGCCTGGAGTGGAGATATGGGCCTGGAGGTGGAGATATGGGCCTGGAGGTGGAGATATGGGCCTGGAGTGGAGATATGGGTCTGGAGGTGGAGATACGGGCCTGCAGTAGAGATATGGGCCTGGAGTGGAGATATGGGCCAGGAGTGGAGTTATGGGCCTAGAGATGGATATCTGGGCCTGGAGTGGAGATATGGGCCTAGGAAGGAGATATGGGCCTGGGTGTGGAGATATGGGACTGGAGAGGTGATATGGGCCTGGAGTGGAGATATGGGCTTAGGGTGGAGATCTGGGCCTGGGGCGGAGATATGGGACTGGATTGGAGATAGGGGCCTAGGGTGGAGATCTGAGCCTGGATTGGCGATATGGGCCTAGGGTGGAAATATCAGCCTGGAGTGGAGATATGGGCTTGGGGTGGGGATATGGGCCTGGAAACTGGGTCTCTGCACAGCCGACAGCCCTGTTCTTGGGTGCAGGTAGGCACTGAGGGTGAGTTTAACTTCAGCCCAGGAAGGGCCTGGCTGCCAAGACTCACAGCCCAGTGGGGGCAGCAAGGGAGGCCTGGTTTGCCTGCAGATGGATGGTCCATCATGATCTTTCTTTCCAGGGTTCTTCTTGCTGCAGGGGGCCTGGCCACATGAGGGTGAGTCCTTCTCCAAACCTTCGGGTGTCATCTCCCCACATAAGAGGATTTTCCTGAAACAGGAGGGAAGTCCTGTCGGGGAGTCTCTCATAAACTAGGAAGAGAGGACCCTGGGGTGCTCAGCCCACATTTCTGACCTCGCCTCCCTGGCCTCTCAACCCCTTGGCAGAGTCAAGTTCTGTGGGGACCAGGGTTAGACTGGGGTGCTCAAAGCTGGGGTGTGTGGTTGGGAAGTGGTAGGAACAGCAGATCCTCTGAGGACAAAGGTGTTACTCACACACTTCAGCGTTTCCATGATGGTAGGGGCTGCAGTGTGGCTGCTGTCATTCTACCAGAAGAGGTGGGAAACCACAGCCATGGCCCTGACATTCCAAATCCTCTGATGGGGGCTCAGTTGTTTATTTTCGTTCAGGCATCCGCTGATATCCATTCACAAAGGACATGCCCTCCACCTCATGTCTACCCTGTGTTGTTTTATGTGAGTAATCTTACAGTATTAAAATCTAGTAGGAGTCTCTTTACTCAGCACTTGCTCAAAGTTCTCAGCTGAGGCTTTTGTTGTAGGGAGACACCATGTCTTTGCGGGATGGGTCCTTCCTTCAGCCCTGGGCACCAAGGTGTGATAGTAGCCATAGAAACGTGGAAAGCGAGGAGAATCTTCTGAGCACAGGGAGGGAAGGGCAGTTCCACATCCTCCTCTCTAAGGCGGCGCCTCCTTCTCCCCAAGGTGGTCAGGACAAGCCCTTGCTGTCTGCCTGGCCCAGCCTTGTGGTGCCTCTAGGACATGTCATTCTTCGGTGTCACTCTTATCTTGGGTTTAACAACTTCAGTCTGTAAAAGGAAGGTGGGGTGCCTGTCCCTGAGCTCTACAACAGAATATTCTGGAACAGCCTTTTCATGGGCCCTGTGACCCCCGCACACACAGGGACATACAGATGTCGGGGTTCACACACACACTCCCCCAGTGGGTGGTCAGCACCCAGCAACCCCCTGGTGATCGTGGTCATAGGTCAGAGGGCTCCTGTCTTGGATTCTCCTTGTCCCACCTCCTGAATCCCAGAGCTTCTGTTGGGCATGTCCTTGAGGGTCCCATCACGCAGGCCCTGACTGTATTTGTGGTAAAGGGGGATTGAATACAGGGAAATGGGTGCTGTGGTGGGAAGAATAATTGTCCCCAGTGATGACTACATTCTAATCCCTGGAGTCTGTGACTATTTATGTTATAGGGGAAGGGACTGAAGGGGAAGATGGAGCTCATGGGGAGACAGCCTGGACTGTCCCACTGGGCTCAGTGTAATCACAAGGGTGCACATGAAAGGAGGAGGAAGAGGGGAGTGGGGATTAGAGCAGTCCAGTGGAAGTCTTCACCAGCTTTGAAGGTGGAGGAAGGCCAAGATCCATGAATGCAGGTGGCCTATAGAGGCTGGAAAAGTCAAGGAACTGATTCTCCAGAGTCTCCAGAGGGAACAAAGCCCTGCAGATGCCTTGATTTTAGCCCAGGAAAAATAGGGTCCAATTTCTGTCTCCAGTACTGGAAGGTGTCAGTGTGGTCTCTCCTGCTGCCATGCTTCTGATAATTTTCTACAGCAGCAACAGGAAACCAACACTGGAACCCAGGTCAAGGACAAGTTAAGAAACAACCCAAGGAAAGCCAGGCATGGTGGCAGGTGCATGTAATCCTAGCGACTCAGGAGGCTGAGGGCAGGAGAATCACTTGAACCCAGGAGACAGAGGTTGCAGTGAGCCTAGACCACACCACTTCACTCCAGCCTGGGTGAAGGAGTGAGACTCTGTCTCCATAATTAATTAATTAATTAAAGAAACCAAACAAGGAGAAGGTTGGCTACCCTGAGATCAGCAAGGGTGGGATGATGATGCCACCACCAGGCTCCATCCACATAGGGAGGGGTTGATACTCCTCCAACCAGCACCAGGAGCCAGCCTATGGAAGCTGGCACCATGGAGAAGGCACAGGCATGGCAAGAGTGGCTCCCAGTCCCCACCAGGAACAGGGTGTGTGGACACTGGTGCCTGCCTTATTCATCAGTTCATACCTTCTGCCAAGGATTGCAATTCATCCAAAAGAGATTGAACCAGGCTGATAAGAGCCTGGATGTGCAGCCTATCCTGGTTCCTCTTTCACCCCCACATAAACAGCAGGAAATACATTAGTGTGAAATAGATACAACACCCCAAGAGATGAGGCTCAGCCCAGTGGGAAGGGAATCAGAGGCTACTAGAGACAGAGGGACAGAGAAGAGGGAGGGAGACAGATGGAAGGACCTGCACCAGGAGTTAAGGGCACAGAAAAGAACATGAAGACACAGAGAGGAAGGAGAGAGACAGACACCAGCAAGGGGAAGCCTCACTCATTCTAGGTGCCATGGATGGGATGATAAAGAGAGACACCTTCTAAACTCACAACCTCTCTTCCTAGGAGTCCACAGAAAACCTTCCCTCCTGGCCCACCCAGGTCCCCTGGTGAAATCAGAAGAGACAGTCATCCTGCAATGTTGGTCAGATGTCAGGTTTCAGCACTTCCTTCTGCACAGAGAAGGGAAGTTTAAGGACACTTTGCACCTCATTGGAGAGCACCATGATGGGGTCTCCAAGGCCAACTTCTCCATCGGTCCCATGATGCAAGACCTTGCAGGGACCTACAGATGCTACGGTTCTGTTACTCACTCCCCCTATCAGTTGTCAGCTCCCAGTGACCCTCTGGACATCGTCATCACAGGTGAGAGTGTCCGGACATTCTCATTGTCATTGGGATGCAGAGTGAATGATCCACGACTTGGAACCCCCAGGTAGTTGTAAGGAAGATGAGCTTGGTATTCTTATGGAGAGAGACTGACTTGCTGAGGTTTGTACCAACAGAGACAGAGAAACAGGAGACACAAGTACAGACCAGGTGTCATAACAGAGGACAGACACAGGGGCCATACAGGGAGTTAGAAAAGACAGAAAGAGTTAAAAGAGACAGACAGACAGACATGTCCCAGAGAGAGGTGTCCCTCCATGCTGACTTTGCTCACAGACCTGGCACAGGTTAGAAGTTTCATTTCTGTTTTACCTCCACAAAGTGTTCTCTACCAGGAGAACCCAAGGACACCCATATTTATGACCTGAGTTGGGCCCTGTGGCCTCAGGCCTTGTGGCACCTACAGGCCATGTTTATTCTGACACCTCTGCCTTCCATGTAATGGAGAGTAATCGTCCCAGGATATCATGGCCCCAGAACACCAACCCCTGTATGCTGTGTGAACTTGTGGTCTCCAGACTGGATTCTGTGGCTCACATTCCAAATAACCCCACATATGAAAGGATCACTGAGAGGCACAGAGAAAAATCAGGAACACCAAAAAGCAAAGACATAAACACACAGAGAATGAGCCAGAGGAAGGAGATTGAGAGACTCACAGACACATAAAGAGAGAGAAAAGAGGGCAGAGGAGTGGTGAGAATGATGGCAGGGAGCAGAGAAAAGCACTAAAATTAGAGTCCTGAGAGAGAGGCACAAGGACATAGAAAGATGGAGATGTGGGGATGAATTGCAGAGATTCCAAAGAGAACTAGAGAGACCGAGAGGCAGAGCAAGACAGATGATAGATGGATAGATATAGATAGATGATAAATAGGTAGATGATAGATAATAGGTTAAAGATACATAGATGATGATTGATTGATTCATTAATAGATAATACATAGAGATGATGATGATGAAGACAGATAATACGTACAGATAGAGAGGCAGACAGAAATCATAGAGAGAGAGATGATACATACATATAAATAACAGATGATTGATGGATAGATAGACAAGTGATAGATACATAGATGATATATAGATATAGATGACAGGTAGAGAATTTGTAGATAGGCACCGAATAGATAAATAGATAGATCGACAGATAATAGATAGAAATATGCAGAAAGTTATGAACAGGACACAACGTGAGAAACTTAGAATTTAAAAAAGTAACATCAAGTCAACCAATCCAAGGAGAGTCAGAGAGAATAAAAGAATCCAAAAAGGGAAAACATATCTAGAGGTGGGGAAGCGAGGTCAGAGACCTAGAGAGACAGAGAAGGTGGAAGAAGGAAATAGACATGAAGAGAGATGGGGTGGAGGGTGAGAGAGAGAGAGAGAGAGAGCATTAGGTCATAGAGCAGGGGAGTGAGTTCTCAGCTCAGGTGAAGGGAGCTGTGACAAGGAAGATCCTCCGTAAGGAAAATGCCTCTTCTCCTCCAGGTCTATATGAGAAACCTTCTCTCTCAGCCCAGCCGGGCCCCACGGTTCTGGCAGGAGAGAGCGTGACCTTGTCCTGCAGCTCCCGGAGCTCCTATGACATGTACCATCTATCCAGGGAGGGGGAGGCCCATGAACGTAGGTTCTCTGCAGGGCCCAAGGTCAACGGAACATTCCAGGCCGACTTTCCTCTGGGCCCTGCCACCCACGGAGGAACCTACAGATGCTTCGGCTCTTTCCGTGACTCTCCATACGAGTGGTCAAACTCGAGTGACCCACTGCTTGTTTCTGTCACAGGTGAGGAAACCCCATATCTGTCTCATGTCCTATGATCCTAGAGCCTTAGCTGAGGAGCTTCCTGCTGATGATGGAGAGAAGCATGGACAGATGCAGAGAGAAGACGAAGCTTGGGTGTGAGGGAGGGATCAGGGCACAGGATGGCAGACAGGGCACCTCCAAACCCTCCTACACGGCCTGCATGAAGGCCCGCGGCCAGGGCTCCAGGCACACAGGCAGATGGAGAAAACGGTCAGGAGAGACCCAGAGGAGAGAGACTGGGCTCAGTTTGGGAAGATCAGAGGTTCCCTCAGCCCCTCAACATTACCCATTTCCCAGAAGCCCATCCTGGCCTCTCACCCACACAGGGATGTCATCACCAGCAACCCCTACACCCTTTACTTTTGTTTGAAGAAATATTTATTGAGGATAAATATACCTATATAGCTTACCACCTTTAACATTTTTTTTTTTTTTGAGGCAGAGTCTAGCTCTGTCCCCTATGCTGGAGTGCAGTGGCACAATCTCAGCTCACTGCAACTTCCGCCTCCTGGGTTCAAGTGATTCTCCTGCTTCAGCCACCTGAGTAGCTGGTGCTACAGGCGCGCACCACCACGCCAGGCTACTTTTTGTATTTTTAGTAGAGAGGGGGTTTCACCATGTTGGTCGAGCTGGTCTCCAACTCCTGACCACGTGATCCACCCGCATCTGCCTCCCAAAGTGCTGGGATTACAGGCATGAGCCACCACGCCCAGCCACATTTACCATTTTTAAGTGTAAAGTCTAGTGGTCATAAATACATTTATATATATATATATATATATATATATACACACACACACACATATATAAACATATATATATATATATATATATATATATATATATTTTTTTTTTTTTTTTTTTTTACCCTCCACCCTTTTATTCCTGGCCTCTGGAAGCCACCATTCTACTCTCTACCTTCATGAGATCCACCTTTTAGCTCTGTATATGGGTGAGAAATGGGAATCTTTGTAATGACTTCCAGTTCCATCCATGTGGCTGCAAATATCAGGATGTTATTCTTTCTATGGATGAGTAGTCTCCACTGTGCGTATGTACTACATTCTCTCTATCCATTCATCCACTGATGGGCAGGTAGGTTGACTCCACATCTTGGCTACTGTGAACAGTGCTGCACCAATCATACGAGTGCAGATATCACTTCGATATATTGATTTACTTTCCTTTGGATATAAACCCAGTAGTGAAATTGCTGGATACTATGAAAGTTCTCTTTTTAGTTATTCGTTTGTTGTTTTGTTTTTGTTTTTGAGACAGTTTCCCTCTGTGCCCAGGCTGGAGTACAAGTGAAGTCATCTTGGCTCATTGCAACCTCCGCCTCCTGGGTTCAAATGATTTTCCTGCCTCAGCCTCCCTAGTAGCTGGGATTACAGGTGCACGCCACCATGCCTGGCTACTTTTTGTTTTTTTTAGTATAGATGGGGTTTCCCCATGTTGGCTGGGCTGCTCTCAAACTCATGACCTCAACTGAGGTGCCCGCCTCGGTCTCCCAAAGTGCCGGGATTACAGGCATGATCCACCTCACCCAACCTCTTTTTAGTTCTTTAAAGGACTTCCACACTTTTCTCCGTAAAGGCTGTACTAATTTACACTCCTACCAACAGGGTATTAGGGTTCTCCTTTCTCTACCACTTTGGCAGGATTTCCTTTGCCTGTCTTGCAGCTAAAAGCCATTTTATTTTATTTCATTTTATTTTGAGATGGAGTTTCGCTCTTGTCACCCAGGCTGGAGTGCAGTGGTGCGATCTCGGCTCACCACAACCTCCACCTCCCAGGTTCAAGCGATTCTCCTGCCTCAGCCTCCCGAGTAGCTGGAATTACAGGCACACGCCACCACGCCCAACTAAATTTTGTATTTTTAGTAGAGACAGTGTTTCTTCATGTGGGTCAGACTGGTCTCAAACTCCCGACCTTATGAGGTTCACCCACCTCAGGCTCTCAAAGGTCTAGGATGACAGACGTGAGCCACCACGCCCGGCCTAAAATCCATTTTAATGGGGTGAGATGAAAACTCACTTTGATTTTAATTTGTGTTTCTCTGATGATGAGTGAAACTGAGCACTTTTTAGTATGTGGGGAAATTTCATGTGTTTTGCTCCTTTTTCAATTAAATCGTTTGTTTTATTGAGTTGTTTGAGCTTCTTATATTTCTAGTTATTAATCCCATCTCAGATGCATAGTTTGCACATATTTGCTCCCAATCTGTGGGTTGTCTCTTCACTTTGTTGGTTTATTTTTAGCGGTGCAGAAGTTGCTTAGTTTGAGGTAATCCCAATGGTCTATTTTTGCTTCGATTACTTGTGTTTTGAAGGTTTAAAACAAAATGTCTTCCTTCAGACAAATGTCCTGGAGCATTTCCCCAATATTTTCTTCTACGTGTTTCATAGGTTCAGGCCTTAGACTCACATCTTTAATCCATTTTCATTTGAGTTTTGTGTATAGTGACAGGTAGAGGTGCAGTTTCATTCCTCTGCATGTAGATGTCCAGGTTTCCCTGCACTGTTTATTGAAAAGACTGTCCTTTCCTGATTGTGAGTTCTTGGCACCTTTGTCAAAGTCCATTGGATGGGCTGGGCATGGTGGCTGACACCTGCAATTTCAGCACTTTGGGAGCCCAAGGCGGGTGGATCACCTGAGGCCAGGAGTTCAAGATTAGTCTGGCCGACGTGATGAAACATTGTCTCCACTAAAAATATAAAAATTAGCTGAGCATGGTGGTCAGCACCTGTAATACCACTACTCAGGAGTTTGAGGCCAGAGAATTGATTGAACCCAGGAGGCTGTGGTGGCAGTGAACCGAGATTGCACCTCTGCACTCCAGCCTGGGTGACAGAGCGAGACTCCATCTCAAAAGAAAAAAGAAAAAAACATTGGAGGTAAATGCATGGATTATATCTGTGTTCTTCATTCTGCTCCATTGTTCTACGTGCCTTTCTTTATGCCAATGTGATGCTGTTTTGCTTACTACAGCTCTGTAACATATTTTGAGATCAGGTAGTGTGATGCTCCTGTTTTCTCTTTATACCTTGAAGTCTCAAGACAGTGGGCGTCACATACAAAAATTACGGAAAAAAGGATCCCAGGACTCCCAGGGCCCAATATTAGATAACAGAGTGTTGGCCATGAACCAACCTCAAAGATTTCCATTGAGTAGAGGACAGACACCCTCATTTCCTCACCTCTCTCCTGTCTCGTGTTCTAGGAAACCCTTCAAATAGTTGGCCTTCACCCACTGAACCAAGCTCCGAAACCGGTGAGTACAGAACCCTCTTATATCCGCTTTTGGAAACCTGGGGAGGTAGAAACCTTCGATGCAGGCATTGACTCAGCATCTCGCAGCTCTGACATTGTACGCCTGTCTTCTACCATCTCCGAACTCCAGATACTCCAACAGCGAAAGGGATCTGGGCCCAACCTAGGGCTCAGTGAAATCTCTTAATCTCTCATTTTATGGAGCTGAGACCTCCTACAAGCTAGAAGAATGATTGCCAATCTGACATCCTTCTCAGGAAAAATGCAATGTTTGTTCTGCCTGCATTCCTAACTGGAGGATAAATTCCTGGGGGCTTGAGAGAGGGAAGGGAAGGGAACATCTGATGAGGGCGAGGTGTTTTAGAGAAGTTCCACTTGCCAAGGAATGAATTACTGTTGGTCATGAAGCAACCCTGGCTGACTCAGCAGAGCAACAGCCTTGCCGTAACAGAGAACGGAGCTCATGCACGCACACTTCGACTCACTGACTCATTCAGCCACGGCCCCATGCTCAGGCTGTGCAGTGCGGAACCTTTTCCTATTGTTGCCATAACAAATTTCCACAAGATTCGTGGGTGAAAACAAAACGGTTTTTTAATTATCTTACAGTGCTGTAGCTCAAAGTAGGAAGTGCATCTTACTGGGCTAAAATCAAGGTGACAGCAAGGCTGCCTTCCCTCTGAGGATTCCAGGCAAGAATCTGCTTCTCACTTATCCCAGCTTCTAAAGGCTCCCAGTTCCTTGGCTCCTGTTCCCCTTCCTCCTTCCTCAAAGCCCACAAAGACTGGTCACATCTCACATGGCATCACTCAGTGCCTTCTTCCTTACCACACCTCTTTCTCTGAATGCTGCTCTCCCTTCTTCCTTATCTTTTGAAAACTTGGGGATTCTATTGGGTTCACCAAGATGAAAATCCCTCATAATCTCCTGGAAATCATCCAGGATACCCTTGTTTTAAGTTCAGCTGATTAGCAACCGCAATTCCATCTACAATCTTCATTCCTCCTTTCCATGTAAAATAACATATTCACAAGCTATGGAGGCTAGGACAGGGACATTTTGGGGTGGGACAGCATTCTCCTGCCTTCCACAAACGGTGAACAAGATGCATTTGGCTTCTGCCCTTGGGACACTGATATTGCAGATGGTTAAATGGGAGGGCAGAAAATGAATGCACAAGTGGATCTATAAATGAATGATCCATTGGGAAGCATCTGTGCATGAAATCTATTTTTTGTTTGTTCTTTTGTTTATTGAGACAGAGTCGCCCTCTGTCTTCCAGGCTACAGTGCAGTGTCACGATCTTGGCTCACTGCAACCTGCGTCTCCTGGATTCAAGTGATTCTCCTGCCTCCGCCTCTCGAGTAGCTGGGATTACAGGCAACTGCCACCGTGCCCGGCTAATTCTTTTTGTATATTTTTTGTAGAGAGGATGTTTCACCACGTTGGCCAAGCTTGTCTGAAACTCCCAACCTCAAGTGATCCGACCGTCTCAGCATGCCAAAGTAATGGGACTACAGGCGTGAGCCACTGTGCCCAGCCAGAATTCAAAATCAATAATAGATAATGCTGAGTGTATGATTTCAGGTGACAAAGAAGGTCTCACTATTCAGATATTTGTGACATTAATGAAAAACACGGATTGAACCCCTGAAAGATTGGCGGAAGGATTTTGCACACACAGCTGTCAGCCGTGAAGGCACAAAGGTGAAAACAATCTGATGTGGAAGGAAGAGGCTCTGCCTCAAATGCTGGGAATGATGTGGGGAGAATGACAAGACGACTGTAGAGAGACGGAGAGCACACTGGGTACACAGGAAACTAAGGAGCAACAAGGAGTGTGTGTTTGACACTCACAGCCATTGGATTCACCTCGGGGTAACCAGGAATCCCTACATGATTAATATGACTGACATGAAAATAAGGGAGGCTCAGTTGCATAACTGGAATCTAGGAGACCGTGGAAAAGGCAATTGCCACCCCACTGGTGAAATGTGGTGCTGATTTAGACACTAAATGAATGAAGTAGATGGATATAAGATATGTTTGTGAGGTAGAATCATTGACTGGAAACGCTTACTGGGTTTGATTTTCCTACTTGTTTAATCCTCGCTTAATTAATTTCTTTCTGAGATTTATTCATCCTACACATAAATCAATACCTGGCAAAGGAGTGACAGATATATGAGTGGTGGTGGAAATGAAGAGACTTATTATAGCATAATATACAAGTCTGTGAACAGTGGCTCACGCCTGTAACCTAGCACTGCAGGAGGCCAAGGTGGGTGGATTCCATGAAGTCAGGAGTTCCAGACCAGCCTGGCCAACGTGGTGAAACCCTATCTCTACTAAAAATACAAAAATTAGCCGAGCACGATGGTGCATCCCTGTAATCCCAGCTCCTATTCTGGAGGATGAAGCAGGAGAATGACTTCAACCCAGTAGGTGGAGGTTGCAGTGAGTGGAGATTGCATCACTGCACTCCAGCCTGGGGGACACAAGGAGACTCTATCTCAAAAAATAAAAATAAGAAATACATAAATATAATAAAACACACACGAATGACAAAGGCACCTGAATTCCAATCATCGTTTTTCTATTTCTCTATAATTACTTCTTTGATCCTTTATCTTATCCATTAGGCAATGAGCTTAAAACCTCTTCCCTATTTGGCTTTCTGTGAGAATGAGATCACATAGAAAATGTGAAAGCCCTCAGAATCCTCCAGCACAGATCGTGGAATAGAGAAAGTGCTCTGTTCATCGCAACAAAAAACTTGCCCACTCACCCAAATCCCCCACCTCACCCCTACTTCCAATCACCTGTGGAGATTCAGATAGGCTATGGGGAGGTAAACATTGATACTCCTTGGAGTGAGTCCAGATCTTGGAATCAGAGATCAGTGCCAGCACTAGCTCCTGCTCCCCTTTCCTACTAATTCACAGGAGGACAGGTGGTATTGAAGCAATAGATGGCCGAGGGGGTGGTCCTTCCCCCAGCCTCTCGGGTAGAACAGCAGCCTAACATGTGTCTCCCGAGATCACAAAGAGTAGCACGTTTCACACGGGCTTCAACACTATTTCCTGGCCATTTGACATAAGAGAATTCTACTTAGCTTTTTTTATCTTGATTTCACTTTTGTTTCCTTTTCTTGGAGAATGCAAGTTGTTTGATTCAAGAATGCTGTGGATGTAGAAATCCTAAAGCACATTCGCTGTGTATCAATCCCAGTGCAGTCTTCCCAGAGAAGACTCTAAATACCTCCTGGACTGCACCTGGGCTTATGCCAATTCCTATCACTCACCGTCACTCCAGGGAGACAGAACACACAGAGAATACATTACACAGGCAGGTTCATTACTAACAGATAAGCAGCGAGTGACAACAGAAACCTACATTTCAATGTGAGCCAGTCCCTCAAGGCTCAGAAAAGCTACTCGGGACATATGGAGTCACCCCATTTGCAGTGTAGCTGGGGGAAGCCAGAGAGCAGCCCAGCCTGGGTTTTGTACTGTGGAGCCACAGGAAGCACTCAGCTAAAGCACTGCATGACGTCCTCCTCCAGGAAGAACAGGAAGACAGCCCAGGCTGTTCTGAGACGTTCCTCCTGATCTCAGGACGTTGCTGTCTTAGTCCATTTTTGTTGCTCTAAAGGAACACTTGAGCCTGGGTAACTTCTAGAGAAAAGAGATTGGTTTGCCTCACAGTTCTGCAGGCTGTACTGGAAGCGTGGCACCAGCATCTATTTCTCGTGACGGCCTCAGGCTGCTCCCACTCTGGCAGAAGGGAAGGAGGGTCTGTCTGTGCAGAGACCACAGAGATCACACGGCAAGAGAGGGAGCAAGGGGGAGGGGGAGCGATGGAGCTTCCAAGCTCTTTTGAACAACCAGCTCTCCAGGAACTAATAGAAGGGGAACTTGCTAACCCCGTCTCCTTGGGACAGCATTGGTCTGTTCATGATGGATCCACCTCCATGACCCAAACACCTCTCAAGAGGCCCAACCTCCCACAGTGGGGGTGAAATTTCAATGTGAGGTTTGAAGGGGTCAAACATCTCAACTAAAGTAGTTGTATCCTCAACACGTTCTATGGTTACTATGAGAGCTATAACTGAGAAAGCAGGAGAAAGCTGGGTCTCCCTCCATCTGGGTGCTTGTCCTAAAGGGGTGTTGTATGTGGTTACCTGTCAATCAAGAAATGTGAGACAATTCATAAAGAGGAACTGCTATGATTAGCTTCTTATTGGTGTCTCCTCTTCTTCCAGGTAACCCCAGACACCTGCATGTTCTGATTGGGACCTCAGTGGTCATCATCCTCTTCATCCTCCTCCTCTTCTTTCTCCTTCATCGCTGGTGCTGCAACAAAAAAAGTAAGTCTCACGAAGCAGAGGCCAGAGAGCTCAGGGCCATGTGGGGAAGCAGGATGGGAGCACTCAGGTGTGTGTTCCTCACAGACAGGATGGTCCCTGGCCCAAGGCAGCAGCCACAGAGGGAGGACTTTCTAGAGAGAGCACCAGACTCCCTGTCCCTGCCTTCAGCTCACAGACCATTGCCTGATTCTGAACTGTATCCTCATGTCCCCTGCAGCCACTCACATCCAGGAGAAGGTTCCATGACAGGCAGAAAGTGGGAGACAGAATCAATGGGATGGGAACTCAGAGCTATTCATGGGATGGGTCCTTGAGCTCAGAGAGATAGAATGTCTGAGTCTGCTGTTGGCAACTGAGGGACCTCAGGCTCCTATGGTCTCCCCCTGTATGTTGGTATCTGCTTATGAAATGAGGGCCCAGAAGTGCCCTCTGAGCTGTTTTGTTGACTTCCGTCTTCTACAGATGCTGTTGTAATGGACCAAGAGCCTGCAGGGAACAGAACAGTGAACAGGGAGGTAGGTGCTCCTCGGCCCAGCCTCGTGGCTAGTGTTATTCCCAAAGAGTCCTGGAAAATGTGAGCACCCTCCCTCACTCAGCATTTCCCTCTCTCCAGGACTCTGATGAACAAGACCCTCAGGAGGTGACATATGCACAGTTGAATCACTGCGTTTTCACACAGAGAAAAATCACTCGCCCTTCTCAGAGGCCCAAGACACCCCCAACAGATATCATCGTGTACACGGAACTTCCAAATGCTGAGCCCTGATCCAAAGTTGTCTCCTGCCCATGAGCACCACAGTCAGGCCTTGAGGGGATCTTCTAGGGAGACAACAGCCCTGTCTCAAAACTGGGTTGCCAGCTCCAATGTACCAGCAGCTGGAATCTGAAGGCGTGAGTCTGCATCTTAGGGCATCGCTCTTCCTCACACCACAAATCTGAACGTGCCTCTCCCTTGCTTACAAATGTCTAAGGTCCCCACTGCCTGCTGGAGAGAAAACACACTCCTTTGCTTAGCCCACAATTCTCCATTTCACTTGACCCCTGCCCACCTCTCCAACCTAACTGGCTTACTTCCTAGTCTACTTGAGGCTGCAATCACACTGAGGAACTCACAATTCCAAACATACAAGAGGCTCCCTCTTAACACGGCACTTAGACACGTGCTGTTCCACCTTCCCTCATGCTGTTCCACCTCCCCTCAGACTAGCTTTCAGCCTTCTGTCAGCAGTAAAACTTATATATTTTTTAAAATAATTTCAATGTAGTTTTCCCTCCTTCAAATAAACATGTCTGCCCTCATGGTTTAGGTAATGGGACTCTTTTCTTGCCTAAGGCTTCCGGTGTTATCAGTACCATGTCCATATAATCCCATCTGTTCTCCACCGGGTTCTCACCTCTGGACTCTGAGCTTCTGGAAGCAGTGTGGAGCCTCATTTGTCTCTGGGACTCCAATTTCCATCCAAAGATGCAGCACATAGGAGGTTCCAAGGATCGGGAATCACATGAACAAGTGACATTGTTACTCTCTGCAGACCTGGAAAGCTGGCAGAGTCATTCCACGATGAAACATTTGTAGAGTCATAGGCCTTGTTAGTCTCATCTCCATGGGGACACATATCAACACATCATCTTTCATACTATAAATATACGGTCACTCCTCCGTATCTGTGGGGTTTACAGGTCTTTATTGAACAAAGTATAAATCAAAAATATTCAGAGAAAATATCCACAGAGTTCCAAAACTCATAACTATGTTGAATGGACACAAATGAAGCTGTGTGTAGGCTGTATCAGGAATTATAAGTAATCAAGAGATGATTTCATGTATACAGGAGGATGTGCATATGTTATTTGCAAGCGCTGTGCCATTTCATATAAGAGGCTTGAGCATCTACAGATTTTGGTATCTGAGTGGAGATCTCGAAACCAATCACCCACGAATAGTGAAGGATGACCGTATATGACTTTTATTTCTCAAATTTAAATATAAATCAAAAAATGTACAACTAGATAAAAACTAAGAAGTGTTTTTATAGTGTGAGTTAGATTTATTTTTTACTAGGTGTAACCCATTGGTTTAATATTATTTATTGAGAAGACATTCTATGCCACCTTAAACCACACGGCAGCCTTTGTCAACTCTAAAGGGACTGTGTGTACATGGATGTATTTTAGACAGTTTCTGCTAAGGGGCTGTCTGTGTCCACACACTTGATGATGCTACACTTTATGTAGCCTTATAGAACCCTTTAAATTTAGTAGCCAGAGCCCTCTAATTTGTTATTATAGGCTATTTGCTTTTTTTTTTCTTGAGGCGGAGTCTTGCTCTGTCGCCCAGGCTGGACTGCAGTGACACAATCTCAGCTCACTGCAACCTCCGCCTCCCAGGTTCAAGCGATTCTCGTGCCTCAGCCTCTTGAGTAGCTGGCGTTACAGGTGCCTGCCACCAGGCATGGCTAATTTTTGGATTTTTAGCAGAGACACGGTTTCACTATGTTGGCCAGGCTGCTCTCAATCCCCTCATCTCAGTTGATCCGCCCACCTCGGCTTCCCGACGTGCTGGGGAAACTTGATTTTCTATAGCATTATGTTACTGGATATTTCTGTAAAATTTAAAATGAGGGAGGCAGAGAGACAGAGAGAGATCAAACTCCAGAGTTGGGACTCTGGAATCTTGGGTCATGAGACAAATTTTAGATTAAACTACAAAACTCCAGAATTTACAGGTGTGGTTTTTGCTGATAAAGTACAATTCTAAGATTGTAAATAATTGCATAATCCTTCCCTGGGAATTTAAATCATTTTAACTGGTTCTGCTGTAATACTAGAAATACAAGCATGAAAAATTCTAATGGTTTATTAGTCACAATGACTCTGAAAACCTTAATAATACCTATTAAATATTTTGCATATTACACATGAAGAAGAGTTTGAATCTCAGATAAAAACAATAAAAATACATGAAAAGTCTTTCACGTTAGCACAGATTTTAGGCATCTCGTGTTCAGGAGGTTGGATCTGAGACGTGTTTTGAGTTGGTCATAGTGAAGGACGCTAGGTGTAAATTCTAGTGAGAACAATTTCCAGGAAGCCGTGTTCCGCTCTTGAGCGAGCACCCACTGGGCCTCATGCAAGGTAGAATGAGCCTGCGTACGTCACCCTCCCATGATGTGGTCAACATGTAAACTGCATGGGCAGGGCGCCAAATAACATCCTGTGCGCTGCTGAGCTGAGCTGGGGCACGGCCGCCTGTCTGCACCGGCAGCACCATGTCGCTCACGGTCGTCAGCATGGCGTGTGTTGGTGAGTCCTGGAAGGGAATAGAGGAAGGGAGTGTGGGGTTGGAGATCTGGGCCCAGAGGTGGAGATATAGGCCTGGAGGTGGAGTTGTGGGCCTGGAGTGGAGATCTGGGCCTGGAGTGGATATATGGGCCTAGAGATGGAGTGATGGGCCTAGAAGTGGAGATCTGGGCCTGGAGTGCCGATAGGAACCTGGAGGGGAGATAGGAGCCTGGAGTGGAGATATGGGCCTGGAGGTGGAGTTATAGGCCTATAGTAGAGATATGGGCCTGGAGTGGAGATTTGGGCCAGGAGTGGAGATATGGGCCTAGAGGTGGATATCTGGGCCTAGAGTGGAAATATGGGCCTAGGATGGAGATATGGGCCTGGTTGTGGAGATATGGGACTGGAGAGGAGATATGGGCCTAGAGTGGAGATATGGGCTTGGGGTGGAGATCTGGGCCTGGGGTGGAGATATGGGCCTGGAGGTGGAGTTACGGGCCTTCAGTAGAGATATGGGCCTGGGGTGGAGATATGGGCTTGGGGTGGAGATCTGGGCCTGGAGTGGAGATATGGGCCTGGAGGTGGAGTTACTGGCCTTCAGTAGAGATATGGGCCTGGTGTGGAGATATGGGCCTGGATTGGAGATATGGGCCTAGGTTGGAGATCTGAGCCTGGAGTGGAGATATGGGCCTGGATTGGAGATATGGGCTTACAGTGGAGATCTTGGCCTGGATTGGCGATATGGGCCTGGATTGGCGATATGGGCCTATGATGGAAATATCGGCCTGGAGTGGAGATATGGGCCTGGAGTGGAGATACAGGCCTAGGGTGGAAATATTGGCCTGGAGTGGAGATATGGGCTTGTGGTGGGGATATGGGCTTGTGGTGGGGATCTGGGCTTGGAGGCTGGGTCTCTGCACAGCCGACAGCCCTGTTCTTGGGTGCAGGTAGGCACTGAGGGTGAGTTTAACTTCAGTCCAGGAAGGGCCTGCCTACCAAGACTCACAGCCCAGTGAGGGCAGCAAGGGAGGGCTGGTTTGCCTGCAGATGGATCGTCCATCATGATCTTTCTTTCCAGGGTTCTTCTTGCTGCAGGGGGCCTGGCCACATGAGGGTGAGTCCTTCTCCAAACCTTAGGGTGTCATCTCCCCACATAAGAGGATTTTCCTGAAACAGGAGGGAAGTCCTGTCAGGGAGCCTCTCATAAACTAGGAAGAGGGGACCCTGGGGTGCTCGGCCCACAGTTCCGACCTCGCCTCCCTGGCCTTTCATTCCCTTGGCAGAGTCAAGTTCTGTGGGGACCAGGGTTAGACTGGGGTGCTCAAAGCTGGGGTGCGTGGTGGGGAAGTGGTAGGAACAGCAGATCCTCTGAGGACAAAGGTGTTACTCACACTTCAGCGTTTCCATGACGGTAGGGGCTGCAGTGTGGCTGCTGTCACTCCACCAGAAGAGGTGGGAAACCACAGCCATGGCCCTGACATTCCAAATCCTCTGATGGGGGCTCAGTTGCTTATTTTCATTCAGGCATCTGCTGATATTCCATTCTCAAAGACATGCCCTCCACCCCATGTCTACCCTGTGTTGTTTTATGTGAGTAATCTTACAGTATTAAAATCTAGTAGGAGTCTCTTACTCAGCACTTGCTCAAAGTTCTCAGCTGACACTTTTGTTGTAGGGAGACACCTTGTGTTTGCGGGATGGGTCCTTCCTTTAGCCCTGGGCACCAAGGTGTGATAGCAGCCATAGAAACTTGGAAAGCGAGGAGAATCTTCAGAGCACAGGGAGGGAGGGGTGGCTCCACATCCTCCTCTCTAAGGCGGTGCCTCCTTCTCCCCAAGGTGGTCAGGACAAGCCCTTGCTGTCTGCCTGGCCCAGCTCTGTGGTGCCTCCAGGACATGTGATTCTTCGGTGTCATTCTTATCTTGGGTTTAACAACTTCAGTCTGTAAAAGGAAGATGGGGTGCCTGGCACTGAGCTCTACAACAGAATATTCTGGAACAGCCTTTTCATGGGCCCTGTGACCCCAGCACACACAGGGACGTACAGATGTCGGGGTTCACACCCACACTACCCCAGTGGGTGGTCGGCACCCAGCAACACCCTGGTGATCATGGCCACAGGTCAGAGGGCTCCTGTCTTGGATTCTCCTTTCCCACCTCCTGAATCCCAGAGCTTCTGGTGGGCGTGTCCTTGAGGGTCCCATCACCCAGGCCCTGACTATATTTGGGGTAAAGGGGGATTGAATACAGGGAAATGGGTGCTGTGGTGGGAAGAATAATTGTCCCCAGTGATGACTACATTCTAATCCCTGGAGTCTGTGACTATTTATGTTATAGGGGAAGGAACTGAAGGGGAAGATGGAGCTCAGGTTGTTGATGAGTTGACCTTGAGATGGGGAGACAGCCTGGACTGTCCCGCTGGGCTCAGTGTAATCACAAGGGTCCACATGAAAGGAGGAGGAAGAGGGGAGTGGGGATTAGAGCAGCGCAATGGGAGACTCCACCAGCTTTGAAGGTGGAGGAAGGCCAGGAGCCATGAATGCAGGTGGCCTGTAGAGGTTGGAAAAGTCAAGGAAATGATTCTCCAGAGTCTCCAGAGGGAACGAAGCCCTGCAGATGCCTTGATTTTAGCCCAGGAAAAACAGGGTCCTATTTCTGTCTCCAGTAGTGAAATGGGTCAGTGTGCTCTCTCCTGCTGCCATGCTTCTGATAATTTTCTACAGCAGCAACAGGAAACCAACACTGGAACCCAGGTCAAGGACAAGGTAAGAAACAACACAAGGATAGCCGGGTGTGGTGGCAGGCGCATGTAATCCTAGCGACTTGGGAGGCTGAGGGCAGGAGAATCACTTGAACCCAGGAGACAGAGGTTGCAGTGACCCTAGACCACACCACTTCACTCCAGCTGGGGTGAAGGAGTGAGACTCTGTCTCCATAATTAATTAATTAATTAAAGGAACCAAACAAGGGGAAGGTTGGCTACACCGAGATGAGCAAGTGTGGGATGATGATGCCACCACCAGGCTCCATCCACATAGGGAGGGGTTGATACTCCTCAAACCAGCACCAGGAGCCAGCCTATGGAAGCTGGCACCATGGAGAAGGCACAGGCATGGCAAGAGTGGCTCCCAGTCCCGACCAGGAACAGGGTGTGTGGACACTGGTGCCTGCCTTATTCATCAGTTCATACCTACTGCCAAGGATTCCAATTCATCCAAAAGAGATTGAACCAGGCTGATAAGAGGCTGGATGTGCAGCCTATCCTGGTTCCTCTTTCACCCCCACATAAACAGCAGGAAAGACATTAGTGTGAAATAGATACAACACCCCAAGAGATGAGGCTAAGCCCAGTGGGAAGGGAATCAGAGGCGACTAGAGACAGAGGGACAGAGAAGAGGGAGGGAGACAGATGGAAGGACCTGCACCAGGAGTTATGGGCACAGAAAAGAACATGAAGACACAGAGAGGAAGGAGAGAGACAGACACCAGCAAGGGGAAGCCTCACTCATTCTAGGTGCCATGGATGGGATGATAAAGAGAGACACCTTCTAAACTCACAACCTCTCTTCCTAGGAGTCCACAGAAAACCTTCCCTCCTGGCCCACCCAGGTCCCCTGGTGAAATCAGAAGAGACAGTCATCCTGCAATGTTGGTCAGATGTCAGGTTTCAGCACTTCCTTCTGCACAGAGAAGGGAAGTTTAACGACACTTTGCACCTCACTGGAGAGCACCATGATGGGGTTTCCAAGGCCAACTTCTCCATCGGTCCCATGATGGAAGACCTGGCAGGGACCTACAGATGCTACGGTTCTGTTACTCACTCCCCCATCAGTTGTCAGCTCCCAGTGACCCTCTGGACATCGTCATCACAGGTGAGAGTGTCCGGACATTCTTCTCATTGTCATTGGGATGCAGAGTGAATGATCCACGACTTGGAACCCCCAGGTAGTTGTAAGGAAGATGAGCTTGGTATTCTTATGGAGAGAGACTGACTTGGTGAGGTCTGTACCAACAGAGACAGAGAAACAGGAGACACAAGTACAGACCAGGTGTCATAACAGAGGACAGACACAGGGGCCATACCGGGAGTTAGAAAAGACAGAAGGAGTTAAAGGAGACAGACAGACAGACATGTCCCAGAGAGAGGTGTCCCTCCATGCTGACTTTGCTCAGAGACCTGGCACAGGTTAGAAGTTTCATTTCTGTTTTACCTCCACAAAGTGTTCTCTACCAGGAGAACCCAAGGACACCCATATTTCTGACCTGAGTTGGGCCCTGTGGCCTCAGGCCTTGTGGCACCTACAGATGCCGTGTTTATTCTGACACCTCTGCCTTCCATGTAATGGAGAGTAACCGTCCCAGGATATCATGGCCCCAGAACACCAACTCCTGTATGCTGTGTGAACTTGTGGTCTCCAGACTGGATTCTGAGGCTCACATTCCAAATAACCCCACATATGAAAGGATCACTGAGAGGCACAGAGAGAAATCAGGGACACCAAAAAGCAAAGACATAAACACACAGAGAATGAGCCAGAGGAAGGAGATTGAGAGACTCACAGACACATAAAGAGAGAGAAAAGAGGGCAGAGGAGTGGTGAGAATGATGGAAGGGAGCAGAGAAAAGCACTAAAATTAGACTCCTGAGGGAGAGGCACAAGGACATAGAAAGATGGAGATGTGGGGATGAATTGCAGAGATTCCAAAGAGAACTAGAGAGACCGAGAGGCAGAGCAAGACAGATGATAGATGGATAGATATAGATAGATGATAAATAGGTAGATGATAGATAATAGGTTAAAGATACATAGATGATGATTGATTGATTCATTAATAGATGAGACATAGAGATGATGATGATGAAGACAGATAGATAATACATAGAGATAGAGAGGCAGACAGAAGTCATAGAGAGAGAGATGATACATAGATATAGATAACAGATGATTGATGGATAGATAGACAAGTGATAGATACATAGATGATATATAGATATAGATGACAGGTAGAGAATTTGTAGATAGGCACCGAATAGATAAATAGATAGATCGATAGATAATAGATAGAAATATGCAGAAAGTTATGAACAGGACACAAAGTGAGAAACTTAGAATTTAAAAAAGTAACATCAAGTCAACCAATCCAAGGAGAGTCAGAGAGAATAAAACAATCCAAAAAGGGAAAACATATCTAGAGGTGTGGAAGCGAGGTCAGAGACCTAGAGAGACAGAGAAGGTGGAAGGAGGAAATAGACATGAAGAGAGATGGGGTGGAGGGTGAGAGAGAGAGAGAGAGAGAGCATTAGGTCATAGAGCAGGGGAGTGAGTTCTCAGCTCAGGTGAAGGGAGCTGTGACAAGGAAGATCCTCCGTAAGGAAAATGCCTCTTCTCCTTCCAGGTCTATATGAGAAACCTTCTCTCTCAGCCCAGCCGGGCCCCACGGTTCTGGCAGGAGAGAGCGTGACCTTGTCCTGCAGCTCCCGGAGCTCCTATGACATGTACCATCTATCCAGGGAGGGGGAGGCCCATGAACGTAGGTTCTCTGCAGGGCCCAAGGTCAACGGAACATTCCAGGCTGACTTTCCTCTGGGCCCTGCCACCCACGGAGGAACCTACAGATGCTTCGGCTCTTTCCGTGACTCTCCCTACGAGTGGTCAAACTCGAGTGACCCACTGCTTGTTTCTGTCACAGGTGAGGAAAGCCCATGGCTGTCCCATGTCCTATGATCCTAGAGCCTTAGCTGAGGAGCTTCCTGCTGAGGATGGAGAGAAGGATGAACAGATGCAGAGAGAAGACGAAGCTTGGGTGTGAGGGAGGGATCAGGGCACAGGATGGCAGACAGGGCACCTCCAAACCCTCCTACATGGCCTGCATGAAGGCCTGCGGCCAGGACTCCAGGCACCCAGGCAGATGGAGAAAGCGGTCAGGAGAGACCCAGAGGAGGGAGACTGGGCTCAGTTTGGGAAGATCAGAGGTTCCCTCAGCCCCTCAACATTACCCATTTCCCAGAAGCCCATCCTGGCCTCCCACCCACACAGGGATGTCATCACCTGCAACCCCTACACCCTTTACTTTTGTTTGAGAAATATTTATTGAGGATAAATATACCTATATAGCTTACCACCTTTAACATTTTTTTTTTGAGGCGGAGTCTAGCTCTGTCCCCTATGCTGGAGTGCATTGGCACAATCTCAGCTCACTGCAACTTCCGCCTCCTGGGTTCAAGCGATTCTCTTGCCTCAGCCACCTGAGTAGCTGGTGCTACAGGCGCGCACCACCATGCCAGGCTACTTTTTGTATTTTTAGTAGAGAGGGGGTTTCACCATGTTGGTCAAGCTGGTCTCGAACTCCTGACCACGTGATCCACCCGCATCAGCCTCCCAAAGTGCTGGGATTACAGGCATGAGCCACCACGCCCAGCCACATTTACCATTTTTAAGTGTAAAGTCTAGTGGTCATAAATACATTAATATATATATATATACACATATTTTTTTTTACCCTCCACCCTTTTCTTCCTGGCCTCTGGTAGCCACCATTCTACTCTCTACCTTCATGAGATCCACCTTTTAGCTCCTGTATATGGGTAAGAAATGGGAATCTTTGTAATGACCTCCAGTTCCATCCATGTGGCTGCAAATATCAGGATGTTTTTCTTTCTATGGAAGAGTAGTCTCCACTATGCAAATGTACCACATTCTCTCTATCCATTCACCCACTGATGGGCAGGTAGGTTGACTCCTCATCTTGGCTACTGTGAAGAGTGCTGCACCAATCATACGAGTGCAGATATCACTTCGATATATTGATTTACTTTCCTTTGGATATAAACCCAGTAGTGAAATTGCTGGATACTATGAAAGTTCTCTTTTTAGTTTTTCGTTTGTTGTTTTGTTTTTGTTTTTGAGACAGTTTCCCTCTGTGCCCAGGCTGGAGTACAAGTGATGTCATCTTGGCTCATTGCAACCTCTGCCTCCTGGGTTCAAATGATTTTCCTGCCTCAGCCTCCCTAGTATCAGGGATTATAGGCGCACGCCACCATGCCTGGCTACTTTTTGTTTTTTTTAGTATAGATGCGGTTTCCCCATGTTGGCTGGGCTGCTCTCAAACTCATGACCTCAACTGAGGTGCCCGCCTCGGTCTCCCAAAGTGCCGGGATTACAGGCATGATCCACCTCACCCAACCTCTTTTTAGTTCTTTAAAGGACTTCCACACTTTTCTCCGTAATGGCTGTACTAATTTACACTCCTACCAACAGGATACCAGGATTCTCCTTTCTCTAACACCTTGCCAGCATTTCTTTTGCCTGTCTTGCAGCTAAAAGCCATTTTATTTTATTTCATTTTATTTTGAGATGGAGTTTCGCTCTTGTCACCCAGGCTGAGTGCAGTGGTGCGATCTCGGCTCACCACAACCTCCACCTCCCAGGTTCAAGCGATTCTCCTGCCTCAGCCTCCCGAGTAGCTGGAATTACAGGCACACGCCACCACGCCCGACTAATTTTTGTATTTTTAGTAGAGACAGTGTTTCTCCATGTGGGTCAGACTGGTCTCAAACTCCCGACCTTATGAGATTCACCCACCTCAGGCTCTCAAAGTTCTAGGATGACAGACGTGAGCCACCACGCCCGGCCTAAAAGCCATTTTAATGGGGTGAGATGAAAACTCACTTTGATTTTAATTTGTGTTTCTCTGATGATGAGTGATACTGAGCACTTTTTCGTATGTGGGGAAATTTCATGTCTTTTGCTCCTGTTTCAATTAAATCATTTGTTTTATTGAGTTGTTTGAGCTTCTTATATTTCTAGTTATTAATCCCATCTCAGATGCATAGTTTGCACATATTTGCTCCCAATCTGTGGGTTGTCTCTTCACTTTGTTGGTTTATTTTTAGCGGTGCAGAAGTTGCTTAGTTTGAGGTAATCCCAATGGTCTATTTTTGCTTCGATTACTTGTGTTTTGAAGGTTTAAAACAAAATGTCTTCCTTCAGACAAACGTCCTGGAGCATTTCCCCAATATTTTCTTCTACGTGTTTCATAGGTTCAGGCCTTAGACTCACATCTTTAATCCATTTTCATTTGATTTTTGTGTATAGTGACAGGCAGAGGTGCAGTTTCATTCCTCTGCATGTCGATGTCCAGGTTTCCCTGCACTGTTTATTGAAAAGACTGTCCTTTCCTGATTGTGAGTTCTTGGCACCTTTGTCAAAGTCCATTGGATGGGCTGGGCATGGTGGCTGACACCTGCAATTTCAGCACTTTGGGAGCCCGAGGTGGGTGGATCACCTGAGGCCAAGAGTTCAAGATTAGTCTGGCCAACGTGATGAAACATCGTCTCCACTAAAAATATAAAAATTAGCTGAGCATGGTGGTCAGCACCTGTAATACCACTACTCAGGAGTTTGAGGCAAGAGAAGTGATTGAACCCAGGAGGCTGTGGTGGCAGTGAACCGAGATTGCACCTCTGCACTCCAGCCTGGGTGACAGAGCAAGACTCCATCTCAAAAGAAAAACAAAAAATACATTGGAGGTAAATGCATGGATTATATCTGTGTTATTCATTCTGCTCCGTTGTTCTATGTGCCTTTCTTCATGCCAACGTCATGCTGTCTTGCTTACTACAGCTCTGTAACATATTTTGAGATCAGGTAGTGTGATGCTCCTGTTTTCTCTTTATACCTTGAAGTCTCAAGACAGTAGCCGTCACATACAAAAATTACGGAAAAAAGGATCCCAGGACTCCCAGGGCCCAATATTAGATAACAGAGTGTTGGCCATGAACCAACCTCAAAGATTTCCACTGAGTAGAGGACAGACACCCTCATTTCCTCACCTCTCTCCTGTCTCATGTTCTAGGAAACCCTTCAAATAGTTGGCCTTCACCCACTGAACCAAGCTCCAAAACCGGTGAGTACAGAACCCTCTTATATCCGCTTTTGGAAACCTGGGGAGGTGGAAACCTTGGATTCAGGCGTTGACTCAGCATCTCACAGCTCTGACATTGTACGCCTGTCTTCTACCATCTCCAAACTCCAGATACTCCAACAGCGAAAGGGATCTGGACCCAAAACAGGGCTCTGTGAAATCTCTTAATCTCTCATTTTATGGAGCTGAGATCTCCTACAAGCTAGAAAAATGATTGGCAATCTGACATCCTTCTCAGGAAAAATGCAATGTTTGTTCTGCCTGCATTCCTAACTGGAGGATAAATTCCTGGGGGCTTGAGAGAGGGAAGGGTAGGGAACATTTGATGAGGGCGAGGTGTTTTAGAGAAGTTCCACTTGCCCAGGAATGAATTACTGTTGGTCATGAAGCAACCCTGGCTGACTCAGCAGAGCAAGAGCTTTGCCTTAACAGAGAACGGAGCTCATGCACGCACACTTCGACTCACTGACTCATTCAGCCACGGCCCCATGCTCAGGCCGTGGAAAAGGCAATTCCCAGCACTGCAGGAGGCCAAGGCGGGTGGATCACTTGAAGTCAGGAGTTCCAGACCAGCCTGGCCAAAATGGTGAAACCCTGTCTCTATGAAAAATACAAAAATTAGCCGAGCATGGTGGTGCATCCCTGTAATCCCAGCTCCTACTCTTGAGGATGAAGCAGGAGAACGACTTCAACCCAGGAGGTGGAGGTTGCAGTGAGTGGAGATTGCATCACTGCACTCCAGCCTGGGTGACACAAGGAGACTCCGTCTCAAAAAATAAAAATAAGAAATGCATAAATATAATAAAACACACACGAATGACAAAGGCACCTGAATTCCAATCATCATTTTTGTATTTCTCTATAATTACTTCTTTGATCCTTTGTCTTATCCATTAGGCAATGAGCCTAAAACCTCTTCCGTATTTGGCTTTCTGTGAGCATGAGACCATATAGAAAATGTGAAAGCCCGCTGAATCCTCCAGCACAGATCGTGGAATAGAGAAAGTGCTCTGTTCATCACAAAAAAAACTTGCCCTCTCACTCAAATCCCCCACTTCACCCCTACTTCCAATCACCTGTGGAGATTCAGATAGACCATGGGGAGGTAAACATTAATACTCCTTGGAGTGAGTCCAGATCTTGGAATGAGAGATCAGCACCAGCACTAGCTCCTGCTCCCCTTTCCTACTAATTCACAGGAGGACAGGTGGTATTGAAGCAATAGATGGTGGAGGGGGTGGTCCTTCCCCCAGCCTCTCAGGTAGAACAGCAGCCTAACATGTGTCTCCCGAGATCACAAAGAGTAGGACGTTTCACAGGGGCTTCAACACGATTTCCTGGCTGTTGGACATAAGATAACTCTATTTCGCTTTTTTATCTTGATTTCACTTTTGTTTCCTTTCCTTGGAGAACGCAAGTTGTTTGACTCAAGAATGCTGTGGATGTAGAAATCCTAAAGCACATTCGCTGTGTGTCAATCCCAGTGCAGTCTTCCCAGAAAAGACCCTAAACACCTCCTAGACTGCACCTGGGCCTACGCCAATTCCTATCACTCACCGTCACTCCAGGGAGACAGAACACACAGAGAATACGTTACATAGGCAGGTTCATTACTAACAGATAAGCAGCGAGTGAAAACAGAAGCCTACATTTCAATGTGAGCCAGTCCCTCAAGGCTCAGAAAAGCTGCTCGGGACATATGGAGTCACCCCATTTGCAGTGTAGCTGGGGGAAGCCAGAAAGCAGCCCAGCCTGGGTTTTGTACCCTGGAGCCACAGGAAGCACTCAGCTAAAGCACTGCATGACGTCCTCCTCCAGGAAGAACAGGAAGACAGCCCAGGCTGCTCTGGGACGTTCCTCCTGATCTCAGGACGTTGCTGTCTTAGTCCATTTTTGTTGCTCTAAAGGAACACTTGAGCCTGGGCAACTTCTAAAGAAAAGAGATTGGTTTGCCTCACCGTTCTGCAGGCTGTACTGGAAGCATGGCACCAGCATCTATTTCTCGTGATGGCCTCAGGCTGCTCCCACTCTGGCAGAAGGGAAGGAGGGTCTGTCTGTGCAGAGACCACAGAGATCACACGGCAAGAGAGGGAGCAAGGGGGAGGGGGAGCGATGGAGCTTCCAAGTTCTTTTGAACAACCAGCTCTCCAGGAACTAATAGAGGGGGAACTAGCTAACCCCGTCTCCTTGGGACAGCATTGATCTGTTCATGATGGATCCACCTCCATGACCCAAACACCTCTCAAGAGGCCCAACCTCCCACAATGGGGGTGAAATTTCAATGTGAGGTTTGAAGGGGTCAAACATCTCAACTAAAGTAGTTGTGTCCTCAGCACATTCTATGGTTACTTTGAGAGCTATAACTGAGAAAGCAGGAGAAAGCTGGGTCTCCCGCCATCTGGGTGCTTGTCCTAAAGAGGTGTTTTACGTGGTTACCTGTCAATCAAGAAATGCGAGACAATTCATAAAGAGGAACTGCTATGATTAGCTTCTTATTGGTGTCTCATCTTCTTCCAGGTAACCCAAGACACCTGCACGTTCTGATTGGGACCTCAGTGGTCATCATCCTCTTCATCCTCCTCCTCTTCTTTCTCCTTCATCGCTGGTGCTCCAACAAGAAAAGTAAGTCTCACGAAGGAGAGGCCAGAGAGCTCAGGGCCATGTGGGGAAGCAGGATGGGAGCACTCAGGTGTGTGTTCCTCACAGGTAGGATGGTCCCTGGCCCAAGGCAGCAGCCACAGAGGCAGGACTTTCTAGAGAGGGCACCAGACTCCCTGTCCCTGCTTTCAGCTCACAGACCGTTGCCTGATTCTGAACTGTATCCTCATGTCCCCTGCAGCCACTCACATCCAGGAGAAGGTTCCATGACAGGCAGAAAGTGGGAGACAGAATCAATGGGATGGGAACTCAGAGCTATTCATGGGATGGGTCCTTGAGCTCAGAGAGATAGAATGTCTGAGTCTGCTGTTGGCAACTGAGGGACCTCAGGCACCTATGGCCTCCCCCTGTTTGTTGGTATCTGCTTATGAAATGAGGACCCAGAAGTGCCCTCCGAGCTCTTTTGTTGACTTCCGTCTCCTACACATGCTGCTGTAATGGACCAAGAGCCTGCAGGGAACAGAACAGCGAATAGCGAGGTAGGTGCTCCTCGGCCCAGCCTCGTGGCTAGTGTTATTCCCAAACAGTCCTGGAAAACGTGAGCACCCTCCCTCACTCAGGATTTCCCTCTCTCCAGGACTCTGATGAACAAGACCCTCAGGAGGTGACATACGTACAGTTGGATCACTGCGTTTTCACACAGAGAAAAATCACTCGCCCTTCTCAGAGGCCCAAGACACCCCCAACAGATACCAGAGTGTACACGGAACTTCCAAATGCTGAGTCCAGATCCAAAGTTGTCTCCTGCCCATGAGCACCACAGTCAGGCCTTGAGGGGATCTTCTAGGGAGACAACAGCCCTGTCTCAAAACCGGGTTGCCAGCTCCCATGTACCAGCAGCTGGACTCTGAAGGCGTGAGTCTGCATCTTAGGGCATCGCTCTTCCTCACACCACAAATCTGAATGTGCCTCTCTCTTGCTTACAAATGTCTAAGGTCCCCACTGCCTGCTGGAGAGAAAACACACTCCTTTGCTTAGCCCACAATTCTCCATTTCACTTGACCCCTGCCCACCTCTCCAACCTTACTGGCTTACTTCCTAGTCTACTTGAGGCTGCAATCACACTGAGGAACTCACAGTTCCAAACATACAAGAGGCTCCCTCTTAACACGGCACTTAGACACGTCCTGTTCCACCTTCCCTCATGCTGTTCCACCTCCCCTCAGAGTATCTTTCAGCCTTCTGTCAGCAGTAAAACTTATATATTTTTTAAAATAATTTCAATGTAGTTTTCCCTCCTTCAAATAAACATGTCTGCCCTCATGGTTTCGGTAATGGGACTCTTTTCTTGCCTAAGACTTCCATTATCATTACCATGTCCACATAACCCCATCTGTTCTCCACTGGGTTCTCACCCCCGGACTCTGAGTTTCTGGAAGCAGGGTGGAGCCTCATTTGTCTCTGGGACTCCTATTTCCATCCAAAGATGTAGCACATAGGAGGTTCCAAGGATCGTGAATCACATGAACAAGTGATATTCTTACTCTCTGCAGACCTGGAAATCTGGCAGAGTCATTCCAAGATGAAACATTTGTAGAATCATAGGCCTTGTTAGTCTCATCTACACAGGGACACATATCAACACATCATCTTTCACACTATAAATATACAGTCACTCCTCCATATCTGTGGGGTTTACAGTTCTTTATTGAACCGAGTATAAATCAAAAATATTCAGAGAAAGTATCCACAGAGTTACAAAAAGCAGAACTGTGTTGAATGGACACAAATGAAGCTGTGTGTAGGCTGCATCAGGAATTATAAGTAATCTAGAGATGATTTCATGTATACAGGAGGATGTGCATAGGTTATTTGCAAACTCTGTGCCATTTCATATAAGAGGCTTGAGCATCTACAGATTTTGGTATCTGAGTGGAGATCTCGAAACCAATCACCCACGAATAGTGAAGGATGACCGTATATGACTTTTATTTCTCAAATTTAAATATAAATCATAAAAAATGTACAACTAGATAAAAACTAAGAAGTGTTTTTATAGTGTGAGTTAGATTTATTTTTTCCTAGGTATAACCCATTGGTTTAATATTATTTATTGAGAAGACATTCTATGCCACCTTAAACCACACGGCAGCCTTTGTCAACTCTAAAGGGACTGTGTGTACACGGATGTACTTTAGACACTGTTTCTGCTAAGGGGCTCTCTGTGTCCACACTCTTGATGATGCTGCACTTTATGTAGCCTTATAGAACCCTTTAAATTTAGTAGCCAGAGCTCTCTAATTTGTTATTATAGGCTATTTGCTTTTTTTTCTTGAGGCGGAGTCTTGCTCTGTCGCCCAGGCTGGACTGCAGTGACACAATCTCAGCTCACTGCAACTTCTGCCTCCCAGGTTCAAGCGATTCTCATGCCTCAGCCTCTTGAGTAGCTGGCGTTACAGGTGCCTGCCACCAGGCACGGCTAATTTTTGGATTTTTAGCAGAGACACGGTTTCACTATATTGGCCAGGCTGCTCTCAAACTCCTTATCTCAGTTGATCCGCCCACCTCGGCTTCCCAACGTGCTGGGGAAACTTGATTTTCTATAGCATTATGTTACTGGATATTTCTGTAAAATTTAAAATGAGGGAGGGAGAGAGACAGACGGAAAACAAACTCCAGAGTTGGGACTCTGGAATCTTGGGTCATGAGACAAATTTTAGATTAAACTACAAAACTCCAGAATTTACAGGTGGGGTTTTTACTGATAAAGTACAATTCTAAGATTGTAAATAATTGCATAATCCTTCCCTGGGAATTTAAATCATTTTAACTGGTTCTGCTGTAATACTAGAAATACAAGCATGAAAAATTCTAATGGTTTATTAGTGACAATGACTCTGAAAACATTAATAATACCTATTAGATATTTTGCATATTACACAGGAAGAAGAGTTTGAATCTCAGATAAAAACAATAGAAATACATGAAAAGTCTTTCATGTTAGCACAGATTTTAGGCATCTCGTGTTCGGGAGGTTGGATCTCAGACGTGTTTTGAGTTGGTCATAGTGAAGGACACTAGGTGTCAAATTCTAGCGAGAACAATTTCCAGGAAGCCGTGTTCCGCTCTTGAGCGAGCACCCACTGGGCCTCATGCAAGGTAGAAAGAGCCTGCGTACGTCACCCTCCCATGATGTGGTCAACATGTAAACTGCATGGGCAGGGCGCCAAATAACATCCTGTGCGCTGCTGAGCTGAGCTCGGTCGCGGCTGCCTGTCTGCTCCGGCAGCACCATGTCGCTCTTGGTCGTCAGCATGGCGTGTGTTGGTGAGTCCTGGAAAGCAATAGAGGGAGGGAGTGAGGGGATGGAGATCTGGGCCCAGAGGTGGAGATATAGGCCTGGAGGTGGAGTTATGGGCCTGGAGTGGAGATCTGGGCCTGGAGTGGATATATGGGCCTAGAGATGGAGTGATGGGCCTAGAAGTGGAGATCTGGGCCCAGAGGTCGAGATATAGGCCTGGAGGTGGAGTGATGGGACTGTAGTGGAGATCTGGGCCTGGAGTGGAGATAGGAACCTGGAGGGGAGATAGGAACCTGGAGGGGAGATATGGGCCTGGAGGTGGAGATATGGGCCTGGAGTGGAGTCATGGGCCTGGAGGTGGAGTTATGGGCCTGCAGTAGAGATATGGGCCTGAAGTGGAGACATGGGCCTGGAGTGGAGATATGGGCCAGGAGTGGAGATATGGGCCTAGAGGTCGATATCTGGGCCTGGAGTGGAGATATGGGCCAGGAGTGGAGATATGGGCCTAGAGGTCGATATCTGGGCCTGGAGAGGAGATATGTGCCTAGGATGGAGATACGGGCCTGGGTGTGGAGATATGGGACTGGAGAGGATATATGGGCCTGGAGTGGAGATATGGGACTGGAGAGGAGATATGGACCTGGAGTGGAGATAAGGGCCTGGATTGGAGATATGGGCCCAGGGTGGAGATCTGAGCCTGGATTGGAGATATGGGCCTGGATTGGCGATATGGGCTTAGGGTGGAAATATCGGCCTGGAGTGGAGATATGGGCCTGGAGTGGAGATATGGGCTTGAGGTGGGGATATGGACCTGGAGGCTGGGTCTCTGCACAGCCGACAGCCCTGTTCTTGGGTGCAGGTAGGCACTGAGGGTGAGTTTACCTTCAGCCCAGGAAGGGCCTGGCTACCAAGACTCACAGCCCAGTGGGGGCAGCAAGGGTGCCCTGGTTTGCCTGCAGATGGGTCATCCATCATGATCTTTCTTTCCAGGGTTCTTCTTGCTGCAGGGGGCCTGGCCACATGAGGGTGAGTCCTTCTCCCAACCTTCGGGTGTCATCTCCCCACATAAGAGGATTTTCCTGAAATGGGAGGGAAGTCCTGTCAGGGAGTCTCTCATAAACTAGGAAGAAGGGACCCTGGGGTGCTGGGCCCACATTTCTGACCTTGCCTCCCTGGCCTTTCATTCCCTTGGCAGAGTCAAGTTCTGTGGGGACCAGGGTTAGACTACGGTGCTCAAAGCTGGGGTGTGTGGTGGGGAAGTGGTAGGAACAGCAGATCCTCTGAGGACAAAGGTGTTACTCACACACTTCAGCGTTTCCATGACGGTAGGGGCTGCAGTGTGGCTGCTGTCATTCTACCAGAAGAGGTGGGAAAACCACAGCCATGGCCCTGACATTCCAATCCTCTGATGGGGACTCAGTTGTTTATTTTCGTTCAGGCATCGGCTGATATTCCATTCTCAAAGGACATGCCCTCCACCCCATGTCTACCCTGTGTTGTTTTATGTGAGTAATCTTACAGTATTAAAATCTAGTAGGAGTCTCTTACTCAGCACTTGCTCAAAGTTCTCAGCTGACACTTTTGTTGTAGGGAGACACCTTGTGTTTGCGGGATGGGTCCTTCCTTTAGCCCTGGGCACCAAGGTGTGATAGCAGCCATAGAAACTTGGAAAGCGAGGAGAATCTTCAGAGCACAGGGAGGGAGGGGCGGCTCCACATCCTCCTCTCTAAGGCGGTGCCTCCTTCTCCCCACGGTGGTCAGGACAAGCCCTTGCTGTCTGCCTGGCCAAGCCCTGTGGTGCCTCCAGGACATGTGATTCTTCAGTGTCATTCTTATCTTGGGTTTAACAACTTCAGTCTGTAAAAGGAAGATGGGGTGCCTGTCCCTGAGCTCTACAACATAATATTCTGGAACAGCCTTTTCATGGGCCCTGTGACCCCAGCACACGCAGGGACCTATACATGTCGGGGTTCACAACCACACTACCCCAGTGGGTGGTCGGCACCCAGCAACCCCCTGGAGATCACGGTCACAGGTCAGAGGGCTCCTGTCTGGGATTCTCCTTGTCCCACCTCCTGAATCCCAGAGCTCCTGGTGGGCGTGTCCTTGCGGGTCCCATCATGCAAGTCCTGACTGTATTTGGGGTAAAGGGGGATTGAATACAGGGAAATGGGTGCTGTGGTGGGAAGAATAATTGTCCCCAGTGATGACTACATTCTAATCCCTGGAGTCTGTGACTATTTATGATATAGGGGAAGGGACTGAAGGAGAAGATGGAGCTCAGGTTGTTGATGAGTTGACCTTGAGATGGGGAGACAGCCTGGACTGTCCTGATGGGCTCAGTGTAGTCACAGGGGTCCACATGAAAGGAGGAGGAAGAGGGGAGTGGGGATTACAGCAGCATAATGGGAGTCTCCATCAGCTTTGAAGGTGGAGGAAGTCCAGGAGCCATGAATGCAGGTGGCCTATAGAGGCTGGAAAAGTCAAGGAACTGATTCTCCTGAGTCTCCAGAGGGAACGAAGCCCTGCAGGTGCCTTGATTTTACCCACGACAAACAGGGTCCGATTTCTGTCTCCAGAATTGGAAGGGGTTAGTGTGCTCTCTCCTGGTGCCATGCTTCTGATAATTTTCTACAGCAGCAACAGGAAACCAACACTGGAACCCAGGTCAAGGACAAGTTAAGAAACAACACAAGGATAGCCAGGCATGGTGGCAGGTGCATGTAATCCTAGCGACTTGGGAGGCTGAGGGCAGGAGAATCACTTGAACCCAGGAGACAGAGGTTGCAGTGAGCCTAGACCACACCACTTCACTCCAGCCTGGGCAAAGGAGTGAGACTCTGTCGCCAAAATTAATTAATTAATTAAAGAAACCAAACAAGGAGAAGGTTGGCTACACTGAGATCAGCAAGGCTCAGATGATGATGCCACCACCAGGCTCCATCCACATAGGGAGGGGTTGATACTCCTCCAACCAGCACCAGGAGCCAGCCTATGGAAGCTGGCACTGGCATGGCAAGAGTGGCTCCCAGTCCCTACCAGGAACAGGGTGTGTGGCCACTGGTGCCTGCCTTACTGATCAGTTCATACCTCCTGCCAAGGATTCCAATTCGTCCAAAAGAGATTGAACCAGGCTGCTAAGAGCCTGGATGTGCAGCCTATCCTGGTTCCTCTTCCACCCCCACATAGACAGCAGGAAAGACATTAGTTCGAAATAGATACAACAGCCCAAGAGATGAGGCTGAGCCCAGCGGCAAGGGAATCAGAGGCTACTAGAGACAGAGGGACAGAGAAGAGTGAGGGAGACAGATGGAAGGACCTGCACCAGGAGTTATGGGCACAGAAAAGAACATGAAGACACAGAGAGGAAGGAGAGAGATAAGACACCAGGAAGGGGAAGCCTGACTCAATCCAGGTGCCATGGATGGGATGATAAAGAGAGACACCTTCTAAACTCACAACCTCTCTTCCTAGGAGTCCACAGAAAACCTTCCCTCCTGGCCCACCCAGGTCGCCTGGTGAAATCAGAAGAGACAGTCATCCTGCAGTGTTGGTCAGATGTCATGTTTGAACACTTCCTTCTGCACAGAGAGGGGATGTTTAACGACACTTTGCGCCTCATTGGAGAACACCATGATGGGGTCTCCAAGGCCAACTTCTCCATCAGTCGCATGACGCAAGACCTGGCAGGGACCTACAGATGCTACGGTTCTGTTACTCACTCCCCCTATCAGGTGTCAGCTCCCAGTGACCCTCTGGACATCGTGATCATAGGTGAGAGTGTCCAGACTTTCTTCTCATTGTCATTGGGATGCAGAGTGAATGATCCAGGAATTGGAGACCCAGGTGGCTGTAAGGAAGATGAGCTTGGTATTCTTATGGAGAGAGACTGACTTGGTGAGGTCTGTGCCAACAGAGACAGAGAAACAGGAGACACAAGTAGAGACCAGGTGTCATAACAGAGAACAGACACAGGGGCCATACCGGGAGTTAGAAAAGACAGAAAGAGTTAAAGGAGACACACAGACAGACATGTCCCAGAGAGAGGTGTCCCTCCATGCTGACTTTGCTCAGAGACCTGGCACAGGTTAGAAGTTTCATTTCTGTTTTACCTCCACAAAGTGTTCTCTACCAGGAGAACCCAAGGACACCCATATTTCTGACCTGAGTTGGGCCCTGTGGCCTCAGGCCTTGTGGCACCTACAGATGCCATGTTTATTCTGACACCTCTGCCTTCCATGTAATGGAGAGTAATCGTCCCAGGATATCATGGCCCCACAACACCAACCCCTGTATGCTGTGTGAACTTGTAGTCTCCAGACTGGATTCTGAGGCTCATATTCCAAATAAGCCCACTTATGAGAGGATCAGTGAGAGGCACAGAGAGAAATCAGGGACACCAAAAAGCAAAGACATAAACACACAGAGAATGAGCCAGAGGAAGGAGATTGAGAGACTCACAGACACATAAAGAGAGAGAAAAGAGGGCAGAGGAGTGGTGAGAATGATGGAAGGGAGCAGAGAAAAGCACTAAAATTAGACTCCTGAGGGAGAGGCACAAGGACATTGAAAGATGGAGATGTGGGGATGAATTGCAGAGATTCCAAAGAGAACTAGAGAGACCGAGAGGCAGAGCAAGACAGATGATAGATGGATAGATATAGATAGATGATAAATAGGTAGATGATAGATAATAGGTTATAGATACATAGATGATGATTGATTGATTCATTAATAGATGAGACATAGAGATGATGATGATGAAGACAGATAGATAGATAATACATAGAGATACAGAGGCAGACATAGAGAAATCATAGAGAGAGAGAGATGATACATAGATATAGATAATAGATGATTGATGGATAGATAGACAATTGATGGATAAATAGATGATATATAGATATAGATGACAGGTAGAGAATTTGTAGATAGGCACCGAATAGATAAATAGATAGATCGATAGATAATAGATAGAAATATGCAGAAAGTTATGAACAGGACACAAAGTGAGAAACTCAGAATTAAAAAAAGTAACATCAAGTCAACCAATCCAAGGAGAGTCAGAGAGAATAAAACAATCCAAAAAGAGAAAACATATCTAGAGGTGGGGAAGTGAGGTCAGAGACCTAGAGAGACAGAGAAGGTGGAAGGAGGAAATAGACATGAAGAGCGATGGGGTAGAGGGTGAGAGAGAGAGAGAGAGAGCATTAGGTCATAGAACAGGGGAGTGAGTTCTCAGCTCAGGTGAAGGGAGCTGTGACAAAGAAGATCCTCCCTGAGGAAACTGCCTCTTCTCCTTCCAGGTCTATATGAGAAACCTTCTCTCTCAGCCCAGCTGGGCCCCACGGTTCTGGCAGGAGAGAATGTGACCTTGTCCTGCAGCTCCCGGAGCTCCTATGACATGTACCATCTATCCAGGGAAGGGGAGGCCCATGAACGTAGGCTCCCTGCAGGGCCCAAGGTCAACGGAACATTCCAGGCTGACTTTCCTCTGGGCCCTGCCACCCACGGAGGGACCTACAGATGCTTCGGCTCTTTCCATGACTCTCCATACGAGTGGTCAAAGTCAAGTGACCCACTGCTTGTTTCTGTCACAGGTGAGGAAAGCCCATGGCTGTCCCATGTCCTATGATCCTAGAGCCTTAGCTGAGGAGCTTCCTGCTGAGGATGGAGAGAAGCATGGACAGATGCAGAGAGAAGACGCAGCCTCGGTGTGAGGGAGGGATCAGGGCACAGGATGGCCGACAGGGCACCTCCAAACCCTCCTACATGGCCTGCATGGAGGCCCACGGCCAGGGCTCCAGGCACCCAGGCAGATGGAGAAAGCGGTCAGGAGAGACCCAGAGGAGGGAGACTGGGCTCAGTTTGGGGAGATCAGAGGTTCCCTCAGCCCCTCAACCTTACCCATTTCCCAGAAGCCCATCCTGGCCTCTCACCCACACAGAGATGTCATCACCAGCAACCCCTACACCCTTTACTTTTCTTTGAAGAAATATTTATTGAGGATAAATATACCTATATAGCTTACCACTTTTAACATTTTTTTTTGAGGTGGAGTCTAGCTCTGTCCCCTATGATGGAGTGCAGTGGCACAATCTCAGCTCACTGCAACCTCCGCCTCCTGGGTTCAAGCGATTCTCCTGCCTCAGCCACCTGAGTAGCTAGTGCTACAGGCACGCACCACCACGCCAGGCTACTTTTTGTATTTTTAGTAGAGAGGTGGTTTCACCATGTTGGTCGAGCTGGTCTCGAACTCCTGACCACGTGATCCACCCGCATCAGCCTCCCAAAGTGCTGGGATTACAGGCATGGGCCACCAGGCCCAGCCACATTTACCATTTTTAAGTGTAAAGTCTAGTGGTCATAAATACATTTTTATATATATATATATATACATTTTTTTTACCCTCCACCCTTTTCTTCCTGTCCTCCAGTAGCCACCATTCTACTCTCTACCTTCATGAGATCCACCTTTTAGCTCCTGTATATGGGTGAGAAATGGGAATCTTTTTAATGACCTCCAGTTCCATCCATGTGGCTGCAAATGACAGGATGTTATTCTTTCTATGGATGAGTAGTCTCCACTGTGCGTATGTACTACATTCTCTCTATCCATTCACCCACTGATGGGCAGGTAGGTTGACTCCTCATCTTGGCTACTGTGAACAGTGCTGCACCAATCATACGAGTGCAGATATCACTTCGATATGTTGATTTACTTTCCTTTGGATATAAACCCAGTAGTGAAATTGCTGGATACTATGAAAGTTCTCTTTTTTTTTTTTTTTTCTTTTTTGAGAAAGAGTTTCCCTCCTTAGCCCAAGCTGGAGTCAAAGTGGTGCAACCTTGGCTCATTGCAACCTCCGCCTCCTGGGTTCAAATGATTTTCCTGCCTCAGCCTCCCTAGTAGCTGGGATTACAGGTGCACACCACCATGCCTGGCTACTTTTTGGTTTTTTTAGTATAGATGCGGTTTCCCCATGTTGGCTGGGCTGCTCTCAAACTCATGACCTCAACTGAGGTGCCCGCCTCAGTCTCCCAAAGTGCCGGGATTACAGGCATGATCCACCTCACCCAACCTCTTTTTAGTTCTTTAAAGGACTTCCATACTTTTCTCCGTAATGGCTGTACTAATTTACACTCCTCCCAACAGGGTACCAGGGTTCTCCTTTCTCTACCACCTTGCCAGCATTTCTTTTGCCTGTCTTGCAGCTAAAAGCCATTTTATTTTATTTCATTTTATTTTGAGATGGAGTTTTGCTCTTCTCACCCAGGCTGGAGTGCAGTGGCGCTATCTCGGCTCACCACAACCTCCACCTCCCAGGTTCAAGCGATTCTCCTGCCTCAGCCTCCCGAGTAGCTGGAATTACAGGCACACGCCACCACGCCCTACTAATTTTTGTATTTTTAGTAGAGACAGCGTTTCTCTATGTGGGTCAGACTGGTCTCAAACTCCCAACCTTATGAGATTCACCCACCTCAGGTTCTCAAAGTTCTAGGATGACACAAGTGAGCCACCTCACCCGGCCTAAAAGCCATTTTAATGGGGTGAGATGAAAACTCACTTTGATTTTAATTTGCGTTTCTCTGATGATGAGTGATACTGAGCACTTTTTCGTATGTGGGGAAATTTCATGTCTTTTGCTCCTTTTTCAATTAAATCATTTGTTTTATTGAGTTGTTTGAGCTTCTTATATTTCTAGTTATTAATCCCATCTCAGATGCATAGTTTGCACATATTTGCTCCCAATCTGTGGGTTGTCTCTTCACTTTGTTGGTTTATTTTTAGCAGTGCTGAAGTTGCTTAGTTTGAGGTAATCCCAATGGTCTATTTTTGCTTCGATTACTTGTGTTTTGAAGGTTTAAAACAAAATGTCTTCCTTCAGACAAACGTCCTGGAGCATTTCCCCAATATTTTGTTCTACGTGTTTCATAGGTTCAGGCCTTAGACTCACATCTTTAATCCATTTTCATTTGATTTTTGTGTATGGTGACAGGTAGAGTTGCAGTTTCATTCCTCTGCATGTAGATGTCCAGGTTTCCCTGCACTGTTTATTGAAAAGACTGTCCTTTCCTGATTGTGAGTTCTTGGCATCTTTGTCAAAGTCCATTGGATGGGCTGGGCTTGGTGGCTAACACCTGCAATTTCAGCACTTTGGGAGCCCGAGGTGGGTGGATCACCTGAGGCCAGGAGTTCAAGATTAGTCTGGCCAACGTGATGAAACATCGTCTCCACTAAAAATATAAAAATTAGCTGAGCATGGTGGTCAGCACCTGTAATACCACTACTCAGGAATTTGAGGCAAGAGAATGATTGAACCCAGGAGGCTGAGGTTGCAGTGAACCGAGATTGCACCTCTGCACTCCAGCCTGAGTGACAGAGCAAGACTCCATCTCAAAAGAAAAAATAAAAAACCATTGGATGTAAATGCATGGAATATATCTGTGTTATTCATTCTGCTCCGTTGTTCTATGTGCCTTTCTTTATGCCAATGTCATGCTATTTTGCTTACTACAGCTCTGTAACATATTTTGAGATCAGGTAGTGTGATGCTCCTGTTTTCTCTTTATATCTTGAAGTCTCAAGACAGTGGGTGTCATATAAAAAAATTATGGAAAAAAGGATCCCAGGACTCCCAGGGCTCAATATTAGATAAGAGAGTGTTGGCCATGAACCATCCTCAAAGATTTCCACTGAGTGGAGGACAGACACCCTCATTTCCTCACCTCTCTCCTGTCTCATGTTCTAGGAAACCCTTCAAATAGTTGGCCTTCACCCACTGAACCAAGCTCCAAAACCGGTGAGTACAGAACCCTCTTATATCCGCTTTTGGAACCCTGGGGAGGTGGGAACCTTGGATTCAGGCGTTGACTCAGCATCTCACAGCTCTGACATTGTACACTTGTCTTCCACCATCTCCGAACTCCAGATACTCCTACAGCGAAAGGGATCTGGGCCCAACACAGGGCTCAGTGAAATCTCTTCATCTCTCATTTTATGGAGCTGAGACCTCCTACAAGCTAGAAGAATGATTGCCAATCTGACATCCTTCTCAGGAAAAATGCAATGTTTGTTCTACCTGCATTCCTAACTGGAGGATAAATTCCTGGAGACTTGAGAGAGGGAAGGGAAGGGAACATCTGATGAGGGCAAGGTGTTTTAGAGAAGTTCCACTTGCCAAGGAATGAGCTCCTGTAGGTCATGAAGCAACCCTGGCTGACTCCGCAGAGAAAGAGCCTTGCCGTAACAGAGAACAGAGCTCATGCACGCACACTTCGACTCACTGACTCATTCAGCCACGGCCCCATGCTCAGGCTGTGCAGTGTGGAACCTTTTCCTATTGTTGCCATAACAAATTTCCACAAGATTCGTGGGTGAAAACAAAACGGTTTTTTAATTATCTTACAGTGCTGTAGCTCAAAGTAGGAAGTGCATCTTACTGGGCTAAAATCAAGGTGACAGCAAGGCTGCCTTCCCTCTGAGGATTCCAGGCACGAATCTGCTTCTCACTTGTCCCAGCTTCTAAAGGCTCCCAGTTCCTTGGCTCCTGGTCCCCTTCCTCCTTCCTCAAAGCCCACAAAGACTGGTCACATCTCACATGGCATCACTCAGTGCCTTCTTCCTTACCACACCTCTTTCTCTGAGTGCTGCTCTCCCTTCTTCCTCATCTTTTGAAAACTTGGGGATTCTATTGGGTTCACCAAGATGAAAATCCCTCATAATCTCCTGGAAATCATCCAGGATACCCTTGTTTTAAGTTCAGCTGATTAGCAACCATAATTCCATCTGCAATCTTCATTCCTCCTTTCCATGTAAAATAACATATTCACAAGCTATGGAGGCTAGGACAGGGACATTTTGGGGTGGGACAGCATTCTCCTGCCTTCCACAAACAGTGAACAAGATGCATTTGGCCTCTGCCCTTGGGACACTGATATTGCAGATGGTTAAATGGGAGGGCAGAAAATGAACGCACAAGTGGATCTATAAATGAATGGTCCATTGGGAAGCATCTGTGCATGAAATCTATTTTTTGTTTGTTCTTTTGTTTATTGAGACAGAGTCGCCCTCTGTCTTCCAGGCTACAGTGCAGTGTCACGATCTTGGCTCACTGCAACCTGCGTCTCCTGGATTCAAGTGATTCTCCTGCCTCCGCCTCTCGAGTAGCTGGGATTACAGGCAACTGCCACCGTGCCCGGCTAATTCTTTTTGTATATTTTTTGTAGAGAGGATGTTTCACCACGTTGGCCAAGCTTGTCTGAAACTCCCAACCTCAAGTGATCCGACCGTCTCAGCATGCCAAAGTAATGGGACTACAGGCGTGAGCCACTGTGCCCAGCCAGAATTCAAAATCAATAATAGATAATGCTGAGTGTATGATTTCAGGTGACAAAGAAGGTCTCACTATTCAGATATTTGTGACATTAATGAAAAACACGGAATGAACCCCTGAAAGATTGGCGGAAGGATTTTGCACACACAGCTGTCAGCCATGAAGGCACAAAGGTGAAAACAATCTGATGTGGAAGGAAGAGGCTCTGACTCAAATGCTGGGAATGAGGTGGGGAGAATGACAAGACGACTGTAGAGAGACGGAGAGCACACTGGGTACACAGGAAACTAAGGAGCAACAAGGAGTGTGTGTTTGACACTCACAGCCATTGGATTCACCTCGGGGTAACCAGGAATCCCTACATGATTAATATGACTGACATGAAAATAAGGGAGGCCCAGGTGCATAACTGGAATCTAGGAGACCGTGGAAAAGGCAATTGCCGCCCCACTGGTGAAATGTGGTGCTGATTTAGACACTAAATGAATGAAGTAGATGGATATAAGATATGTTTGTGAGGTAGAATCATTGACTGGAAAGGCTTACTGGGTTTGATTTTCCTACTTGTTTAATCCTCGCTTAATTAATTTCTTTCTGAGATTTATTCATCCTACACATAAATCAATACCTGGCAAAGGAGTGACAGATATATGAGTGGTGGTGGAAATGAAGAGACTTATTATAGCATAATATACAAGTCTGTGAACAGTGGCTCACGCCTGTAACCTAGCACTGCAGGAGGCCAAGGTGGGTGGATTCCATGAAGTCAGGAGTTCCAGACCAGCCTGGCCAACGTGGTGAAACCCTATCTCTACTAAAAATACAAAAATTAGCCGAGCACGATGGTGCATCCCTGTAATCCCAGCTCCTATTCTGGAGGATGAAGCAGGAGAATGACTTCAACCCAGTAGGTGGAGGTTGCAGTGAGTGGAGATTGCATCACTGCACTCCAGCCTGGGGGACACAAGGAGACTCTATCTCAAAAAATAAAAATAAGAAATACATAAATATAATAAAACACACACGAATGACAAAGGCACCTGAATTCCAATCATCGTTTTTCTATTTCTCTATAATTACTTCTTTGATCCTTTATCTTATCCATTAGGCAATGAGCCTAAAACCTCTTCCCTATTTGGCTTTCTGTGAGCATGAGATCATATAGAAAATGTGAAAGCCCGCTGAATCCTCCAGCACAGATCCTGGAATAGAGAAAGTGCTCTGGTCATCACAAAAAAAACTTGCCCACTCACCCAAATCCCCCACCTCACCCCTACTTCCAATCACCTGTGGAGATTCAGATAGACCATGGGGAGGTAAACATTAACACTCCTTGGAGTGAGTCCAGATCTTGGAATCAGAGATCAGCGACAGCACTAGCTCCTGCTCCCCTTTCCTACTAATTCACAGGAGGACAGGTGGTTTTGAAGCAATAGATGGCCGAGGGGGTGGTCCTTCCCCCAGCCTCTCGGGTAGAACAGCAGCCTAATATGTGTCTCCCGAGATCACAAAGAGCAGCAGGTTTCACACGGGCTTCAACACTATTTCCTGGCCGTTTGACATAAGAGAATTCTATTTCGCTTTTTTTATCTTGATTTCACTTTTGTTTTCTTTCCTTGGAGAATGCAAGTTGTTTGATTCAAGAATGCTGTGGATGTAGAAACCCTAAAGCACATTCGCTGTGAATCAATCCCAGTCCAGTCTTCCCAGAGAAGACTCTAAACACCTCCTGGACTGCACCTGGGCCTATGCCAATTCCTATCACTCACCGTCACTCCAGGGAGACAGAACACACAGAGAATACGTTACATAGGCAGGTTCATTACTAACAGATAAGCAGCGAGTGACAACAGAAACCTATATTTCAATGTGACCCAGTCCCTCAAGGCTCAGAAAAGCTCCTCGGGACATATGGAGTCACCCCATTTGCAGTGTAGCTGCGGGAAGCCAGAAAGCAGCCCAGCCTGGGTTTTGTACCCTGGAGCCACAGGAAGCACTCAGCTAAAGCACTGCATGACGTCCTCCAGGAAGAACAGGAAGACAGCCCAGGGTGTTCTGAGACGTTCCTCCTGATCTCAGGAAGTTGCTGTCTTAGGCCATTTTTGTTGCTCTAAAGGAACACTTGAGCCTCGGTAACTTCTAAAGAAAAGAGATTGGTTTGCCTCACCGTTCTGCAGGCTGTACTGGAAGCATGGCACCAGCATCTATTTCTCGTGACGGCCTCAGGCTGCTCCCACTCTGGCAGAAGGGAAGGAGGGTCTGTCTGTGCAGAGACCACAGAGATCACACGGCAAGAGAGGGAGCAAGGGGGAGGGGGAGTGATGGAGCTTCCAAGCTCTTTTTAACAACCAGCTCTCCGGGAACTAATAGAGGGGGAACTTGCTAACCCCGTCTCCTTGGGACAGCATTGATGTGTTCATGATGGATCCACCTCCATGACCCAAACACCTCTCAAGAGGCCCAACCTCCCACAGTGGGGGTGAAATTTCAATGTGAGGTTTGAAGGGGTCAAACATCTCAACTAAAGTAGTCGTATCCTCAGCACGTTCTATGGTTACTATGAGAGCTATAACTGAAAAAGCAGGAGAAAGCTGGGTCTCCTGCCATCTGGGTGCTTGTCCTAAAGAGGTGTTTTATGTGGTTACCTGTCAATCAAGAAATGCGAGACAATTCATAAAGAGGAACTGCTAAGATTAGCTTCTTATTGGTGTCTCATCTTCTTCCAGGTAACCCCCGACACCTGCACATTCTGATTGGGACCTCAGTGGTCATCATCCTCTTCATCCTCCTCTTCTTTCTCCTTCATCGCTGGTGCTCCAACAAAAAAAGTAAGTCTCACGAAGCAGAGGCCAGAGAGCTCAGGGCCATGTGGGGAAGCAGGATGGGAGCACTCAGGTGTGTGTTCCTCACAAACAGGATGGTCCCTGGCCCAAGGCAGCAGCCACAGAGGCAGGACTTTCTAGAGAGGGCACCAGACTCCCTGTCCCTGCCTTCAACTCACAGACCGTTGCCTGATTCTGAACTGTATCCCCATGTCCCCTGCAGCCACTCACATCCAGGAGAAGGTTCCATGACAGGCAGAAAGTGGGAGACAGAATCAATGGGATGGGAACTCAGAGCTATTCATGGGATGGGTCCTTGAGCTCAGAGAGATAGAATGTCTGAGTCTGCTGTTGGCAACTGAGGGACCTCAGCCACCTATGGTCTCCCCCTGTATGTTGGTATCTGCTTATGAAATGAGGACCCAGAAGTGCCCTCCGAGCTGTTTTGTTGACTTCCATCTTCTACAGATGCTGCGGTAATGGACCAAGAGTCTGCAGGAAACAGAACAGCGAATAGCGAGGTAGGTACTCCTCGGCCCGGGCTCGTGGCTACTGTTATTCCCAAAGAGTCCTGGAAAATGTGAGCACCCTCCCTCACTCAGCATTTCCCTCTCTCCAGGACTCTGATGAACAAGACCCTCAGGAGGTGACATACACACAGTTGAATCACTGCGTTTTCACACAGAGAAAAATCACTCGCCCTTCTCAGAGGCCCAAGACACCCCCAACAGATATCATCGTGTACACGGAACTTCCAAATGCTGAGTCCAGATCCAAAGTTGTCTCCTGCCCATGAGCACCACAGTCAGGCCTTGAGGGCGTCTTCTAGGGAGACAACAGCCCTGTCTCAAAACCGGGTTGCCAGCTCCCATGTACCAGCAGCTGGAATCTGAAGGCGTGAGTCTGCATCTTAGGGCATCGATCTTCCTCACACCACAAATCTGAATGTGCCTCTCTCTTGCTTACAAATGTCTAAGGTCCCCACTGCCTGCTGGAGAAAAAACACACTCCTTTGCTTAACCCACAGTTCTCCATTTCACTTGACCCCTGCCCACCTCTCCAACCTAACTGGCTTACTTCCTAGTCTACTTGAGGCTGCAATCACACTGAGGAACTCACAATTCCAAACATACAAGAGGCTCCCTCTTAACGCAGCACTTAGACACGTGTTGTTCCACCTTCCCTCATGCTGTTCCACCTCCCCTCAGACTAGCTTTCAGTCTTCTGTCAGCAGTAAAACTTATATATTTTTTAAAATAACTTCAATGTAGTTTTCCATCCTTCAAATAAACATGTCTGCCCCCATGGTTTCGGTAATGGGACTCTTTTCTTGCCTAAGGCTTCCGGTGTTATCAGTACCATGTCCATATAATCCCATCTGTTCCCCACTGAGTTCTCATCCCCGGACTCTGAGTTTCTGGAAGCAGGGTGGAGCCTCATTTGTCTCTGGGACTCCAATTTCCATCCAAAGATGTAGCACATAGGAGGTTCCAAGGATCACGAATCATATGAACAAGTGATACTCTTACTCTCTGCAGACCTGGAAAGCTGGCAGAGTCATTCCACAATGAAACATTTGTAGAATCATAGGCCTTGTTAGTCTCATCTCCATGGGGACACATATCAACACATCATCTTTCATAATATAAATATACGGTCACTCCTCCATATCTGCGGGGTTTACAGGTGTTTATTGAACCAAGTATAAATCAAAAATATTGAGAGAAAGTATCCACAGAGTTTCAAAAAGCATAACTATGTTGAATGGACACAAATGAAGCTGTGTGTAGGCTGTATCAGGAATTATAAGTAATCTAGAGATGATTTCATGTATACAGGAGGATGTGCATAGGTTATTTGCAAACGCTGTGCCATTTCATATAAGAGGCTTGAGCATCTACAGATTTTGGTATCTGAGTGGAGATCTCAAAACCAATCACCCACGAATAGTGAAGGATGACCGTATATGACTTTTATTTCTCAAATTTAAATATAAATCATAAAAAATGTACAACTAGATAAAAACTAAGAAGTGTTTTTATAGTGTGAGTTAGATTTATTTTTTCCTAGGTGTAACCAATTGGTTTAATATTATTTATTGAGAAGACATTCTATGCCACCTTAAACCACACGGCAGCCTTTGTCAACTCTAAAGGGACTGTGTGTACATGGATGTATTTTAGACACTGTTTCTGCTAAGGGGCTCTCTGTGTCCACACTCTTGATGATGCTGCACTTTATGTAGCCTTATAGAACCCTTTAAATTTAGTAGCCAGAGCCCTCTAATTTGTTATTATAGGCTGTTTGCTTTTTTTTTCTTGAGGCGGAGTCTTGCTCTGTCGCCCAGGCTGGACTGCAGTGGCACAATCTCAGCTCACTGCAACCTCCGCCTCCCAGGTTCAAGCGATTCTCCTGCCTCAGCCTCTTGAGTAGCTGGCGTTACAGGTGCCTGCCACCAGGCACGGCTAATTTTTGGATTTTTAACAGAGACACGGTTTCACTATATTGGCCAGGCTGCTCTCAAACTCCTTATCTCAGTTGATCCGCCCACCTCGGCTTCCCAACGTGCTGGGGAAAACTTGATTTTCTATAGCATTATGTTACTGGATATTTCTGTAAAATTTAAAACGAGGGAGGGAGAGAGACAGACAGAGAGCAAACTCCAGAGTTGGGACTCTGGAATCTTGGGTCATGAGACAAATTTTAGATTAAACTACAAAACTCCAGAATTTACAGGTGTGGTTTTTGCTGATAAAGTACAATTCTAAGATTGTAAATAATTGCATAATCCTTCCCTGGGAATTTAAATCATTTTAGCTGGTTCTGCTGTAATACTAGAAATACAAGCATGAAAAATTCTAATGGTTTATTAGTCACAATGACTCCGAAAACATTAATAATACCTATTAGATACTTTGCATATTACACAGGAAGAAGAGTTTGAATCTCAGATAAAAACAAAAAAAATACATGAAAAGTCTTTCATGTTAGCACAGATTTTAGGCATCTCGTGTTCGGATAAAAATACATGAAAAGTCTTTCACGTTAGCACAGATTTTAGGCATCTTGTGTTCGGGAGGTTGGATCTGAGACGTGTTGTGAGTTGGTCATAGTGAAGGACGTGAGGTGCCAATTCTAGTGAGAACAATTTCCAGGAAGCCGTGTTCCGCTCTTGAGCAAGCATCCACTGGGCCTCATGCAAGGTAGAAAGAGCCTGCGTACGTCACCCTCCCATGATGTAGTCAACATGTAAGCTGCATGGGCAGGGCGCCAAATAACATCCTGTGCGCTGCTGAGCTGAGCTGGGGCGCGGCCGCCTGTCTGCACCGGCAGCACCATGTCGCTCATGGTCGTCAGCATGGCGTGTGTTGGTGAGTCCTGGAAAGGAATAGAGGGAGGGAGTGCCACATCCTCCTCTCTAAGGTGGCGCCTCCTTCTCCCCCAGGTGGTCAGGACAAGCCCTTCCTCTCTGCCTGGCCCAGCCCTGTGGTGTCTGAAGGAGAACATGTGGCTCTTCAGTGTCGCTCTCGTCTTGGGTTTAACGAATTCAGTCTGTCCAAAGAAGACGGGATGCCTGTCCCTGAGCTCTACAACAGAGTATTCCGAAACACCGTTTTCATAGGCCCTGTGACCCCAGCACATGCAGGGACCTACAGATGTCGGGGTTCACACCCACACTTCCTCACTGGGTGGTCAGCACCCAGCAACCCCCTGGTGATCATGGTCACAGGTCAGAGGGCTCCTGTCTGGGATTCTCCTTGTCCCACCTCCTGAGTCCCAGAGCTTCTGGTGGGAGTGTCCACCAGCGTCCCATCATCCAGACCCTAACTGTATTTGGGGTAAAAGGGGATTGAATACAGGGAAATGGGTGCTGTGGTGGAAAGAATAATTGTCCCCAATGATGACTGCATTCTAATCCCTGCAGTCTGTGACTATTTATGTTATAGGGGAAGGCACTGAAGGGGAAGATGGAGCTCAGGTTGTTGAGTTGACCTTGAGATGGGGAGACAGCCTGGACTGTCCTGCTGGGCTCAGTGTAATCACAAGGGTGCACATGAGAGGAGAAGGAAGAGGGGAGTGGCGATTAGAGCAGTGCAATGGAAGTCTCCATCAGCTTTGAAGGTGGAGGAAGGCCATGAGCCATGAATGCAGGTGGCCTATAGAGGCTGGAAAAGTCAAGGAACTGATTCTCCTGGGTCTCCAGAGGGAACGCAGCCCTGCAGATGCCTTGATTTTAGCCCTCAAAAAACAGGGTCCGATTTCTGTCTCCAGAAACGGAAGGGGTCAGTGTGCTCTCTCCTGCTGCCATGCTTCTGATAATTTTCCACAGCACCAACAGGAAACCAACACTGGAACCCAGGTCAAGGACAAGATAAGAAAGGACACAAGGATAGCCGGGCGTGGTGGCAGGTGCATGTAATCCTAGCAACTCAGGAGGCTGAGGGCAGGAGAATCACTTGAACCCAGGAGACAGAGGTTGCAGTGAGCCTAGACCACACCACTTCACTCCAGCCTGGGTGAAGGAGTGAGACTCTGACTCCAAAATTAATTAATTAATTAAAGAAACCAAACAAAGAGAAGGTTGGCTACACCGAGATCAGCAAGGGTGGGATGATGATGCCACCACCAGGCTCCATCCACATAGGGAGGGGTTGATACTCCTCAAACCAGCACCAGAAGCCAGCCTATGGAAGCTGGCACCATGGAGAAGGCACAGGCATGGCAAGAGTGGCTCCCAGTCCCCACCAGGAACAGGGTGTGTGGACACTGGTGCCTGCCTTACTGATCAGTTCATACCTTCTGCCAAGGATTCCAATTCGTCCAAAAGAGATTGAACCAGTCTGCTAAGAGCCTGGACGTGCAGCCTATCCTGGTTCCTCTTCCACCCCCACATAGAAGCAGGAAAGACATTAGTTCGAAATAGATACAACAGCCCAAGAGATGAGGCTGAGCCCAGCGGCAAGGGAATCAGGAGCTACTAGAGACAGAGGGACAGAGAAGAGGGAGGGAGACAGATGGAAGGACCTGTACCAGGAGTTATGGGCACAGAAAAGAACATGAAGACACAGAGAGGAAGGAGAGAGATAAGACACCAGCGAGGGGAAGCCTCACTCATTCTAGGTGCCATGGATGGGATGATAAAGAGAGATGCCTTCTAAAGTCACAACCTCTCTTCCTAGGAGTCCACAGAAAACCTTCCCTCCTGGCCCACCCAGGTCCCCTGGTGAAATCAGAAGAGACAGTCATCCTGCAATGTTGGTCAGATGTCATGTTTGAGCACTTCCTTCTGCACAGAGAGGGGAAGTTTAATGACACTTTGCGCCTCACTGGAGAGCTCCATGATGGGGTCTCCAAGGCCAACTTCTCCATCGGTCGCATGACGCAAGACCTTGCAGGGACCTACAGATGCTACGGTTCTGTTCCTCATTCCCCCTATCAGTTGTCAGCTCCCAGTGACCCTCTGGACATCGTGATTACAGGTGAGAGTGTCTGGACATTATTCTCATTGTCACTGGGACACAGAGTGAATGATCCACGACTTGGAGGCCCAGGTGGTTATAAGGAAGATGAGCTTGGTATTCTTATGGAGAGAGACTAACTTGGTGAGGTCTGTACCAACAGAGACAGAGAAACAGGAGACACAAGTACAGACCAGGTGTCATAACAGAGGACAGACACAGGGGCCATACAGGGAGTTAGAAAAGACAGAAAGAGTTAAAGGAGACACAGACAGACATGTGCCAGAGAGAGGTGTCCTTCCATGCTGACTTTGCTCAGAGACCTGGCACAGGTTAGAAGTTTCATTTCTGTTTTACTTCCACAAAGTGTTCTCTACCAGAAGAACCCAAGGACACCCATATTTCTGGCCTGAGTTGGGCCCTGTGGCCTCAGGCCTTCTGGCACCTACAGATGCCGTGTTTATTCTGACACCTCTGCCTTCCATGCAATGGAGAGTAATCGTCCCAGGATATCATGGCCCCAGAACATCAACCCCTGTATACTGTGTGAACTTGCGGTCCCCAGACTGGATTCTGAGGCTCACATTCCAAATAACCCCACATATGAGAGGATCACTGAGAGACACAGAGAGAAATCAGGGACACCAAAAAGCAAAGACATAAACACACAGAGAATGAGCCAGAGGAAGGAGATTGAGAGACTCACAGACACATAAAGAGGGAGAAAAGAGGGCAGAGAAGTGGAGAGAACAATGGAAGGGAACAGAGAAAAGCACTAAAATTAGAGTCCTGAGGGAGAGACACAAGGACATAGAAAGATGGAGATGTGGGGATGAATTGCAGAGATTCCAAAGAGAACTAGAGAGACCGAGAGGCAGAGCAAGACAGATGATAGATGGATAGATATAGATAGATGATAAATAGGTAGATGATAGATAATAGGTTATAGATACATAGATGATGATTGATTCATTCATTGATTAATCGATGATACATAGAGATGATGAAGATGAAGATAGATAGATAATACATAGAGATAGAGAGGCAGACAAAGAGAAATCATAGAGAGAGAGAGACGATACATAGATATAGATAATAGATGATTTTTGGATAGACAATTGATAGATAAATAGATTATATATAGATATAGATGACAGGTAGAGAATTTGTAGATAGGCACCAAATAGATAAATAGATATATCGATAGATAATAGATAGAAATATGCAGAAAGTTATGAACAGGACACAAAGTGAGAAACTCAGAATTTAAAAAAAGTAACATCAAGTCAACTAGTCCAAGGAGAGTCAGAGAGAATAAAACAATCCAAAAAGGGAAAACATATCTAGAGGTGAGAAAGTGAGGTCAGAGACCTAGAGAGACAGAGAAGGTGGAAAGAGGAAATAGACATAAAGAGAGATGGTGTGGAGGGTGAGACAGAGAGAGAGAGCATTAGGCCATAGAGCAGGGGAGTGAGTTCTCAGCTCAGGTGGGAGGGGAGTTGTGACAAGGAAGAACCTCCCTGAGGAAACTGCCTCTTCTCCTTCCAGGTCTATGTGGGAAACCTTCTCTCTCAGCCCAGCCGCGCCCCATGGTTAAGGCAGGAGAGAGCGTGACCTTGTCCTGCAGCTCCCGGAGCTCCTATGACATCTACCATCTATCAAGGGAGGGGGAGGCTCATGAACTTAGGTTCCCTGCAGTGCCCAAGGTCAATGGAACCTTCCAGGCCAACTTTCCTCTGGGCCCTGCCACCCACGGAGGGACCTACAGATGCTTCGGCTCTTTCCGTGACTCTCCCTACGAGTGGTCAGACCTTAGTGACCCACTGCTTGTTTCTGTCACAGGTGAGGAAACCAGTCTGTTCCCCAAATAGTGGGACTCAGATGGACTACAATGGCCACATTCAGGGGAGCCTCAGATGGAGGGGGTGGCCATGGGGGTGTCAGCCAGAGATGCTGGACAGAAGAGACACAAAGCAAACATACAGAAAGAGGCATAGACAGACAGACAGAGCGAGGCAGACAGATCACATTAGGGTTTGGGGTGGTAACTGCAACCCTACCTGAAGCTTGCAGATAGAGCACAGGCCACATAAACCACTTCCCAGTCTTTGTACAGAAGCCCACCTGGGACACATGTAAACAGCATCAATGCTGACTCAGGAGCATGAAAGGCCGGGCTCAGATTGGAAAGACTAGAGGTAGCATTGGCCGCCCGCCATTGCCCATTTCCAGAAGCCCCCACCTCTCACCAAAGAGTGATTTCCACATGGGGGGCACAGATGCAACCATCGTTGGGGGAGCCCCAATGTCTCTTGATGGGAGGCATTTTCCACCCTAGATGTTTTTTGCTCTCTCCACACCTTGGAGACTCAGTGGGGGAGTCTTCTCTGGGGACTCGGGGAGGGCCTCCCTGGGACTCGCAGGATTTCCAAGCTAGATGACAACATGACAGGTGGAAACAGGCCCATTCCTTCGCCAGGGGCCCCAAGCTCCATCCCAGGAGATGAGAAGAGGCTCTTCTCATTGGTCAGTGGATCCCTGAGGGGACAGAGGCTCAGCACTGAAGGCTGAGAAGGATCTGCCACTTCGCTCAGTGGCCTCAAGCCAGACATCTTCCCTACAGACTTGCAGTGATTCTCCATCAGCATTTAGGGCTGTGGCCACCAACCTGGGTGTTGGTCTGTAGGAACTTTTCATTTCTGACCTTCCATAACTGAGTTCTCTTCCTAAATGTGGAATGCCTTGTACTCCATGTTACTCTCTCCCCAGAAAGAATGTGTGGCTTGTCTGCTCTCCAGCCCTGTCATGGAGATTGATAATCCTTAGGGAGCAAGAGGAGAGGGAAAGAACAAAGTATGAGACCACCTAGGTGCTACTGGTTGAGGTTCCATTTGCCAGTGAAGGGACTTCACTCAGCCGAGGGGGCAACTCAGGGAAGTCAGCCGAGGGAGGGCATTAGAGTAGAGAGAACTGAGCTCACCCAGTAAATGACCCCTTCACTAACTCATTCATCTAATATTTATTTCACACCTACCATCAGTTCTCTCTGTTTCACGGCCAGGAGTAGACAGCACGGCCAAGCTCCTGGGTTCATGATGCTCACATTGCTGTGGGGTGGGAGAGAGAGGCAGAACATGAATGAATGAATGAGAGAATGAATGAATGAGTGAATGATGGAATGAGTGAATGAATGAATGAATGAATGTATGAATTAGTGAGTGAATCCTTAGCACTTGGTGAAAGTGCCATGCACAGAATGAAATGAATGAACGTGGAACGTTGTCATTTGGAGTGTACAGGAGGGAACGTCTCACTGAGACCTCATCAGAGAGATCACATTTAAACTCCGATCTTAGAGACAAGAGGGAGTGAGCCCTGGGGAGTGTGTTGAAAGGAACTTTCATGGACTTAGGACATTGGGGATGACCCTAATGTGAGAATGAGCTTGGTGTGTTCCAAGAAGTCCATGGACCTGCCATATGGTGAGGGCTGGTCAGAATCCAGAGAGATTTCTAAATGCCCTTGTGCTTGTAAGGAAAGTGAGTCCTGTGGTTGGGAGTGGACTTATACCTTGGGTCAGGTCCAGCAATTATCTTTCTAAATCCTCTCTAATTGCCTGAACCACTTCTATCAACAACTGAGAAAAGAGGAGTGTTAAACACCCCACTGTGGCCGTGGATTTGCCTACCTGTCCATTTATTTCCGCGACTCTTCCTCCATGTATATTTGCAGGAATATTACTGGGAGTGGTTAAGTGTAAACTGATTATATATTCCTGGTAAATTTAAAATGCTATAAATTTACCTGCTTTTTTCCTACATTTTATGCTTAATGTTTTCCGCTGATTTTTCCCAAAGACTAATTTTGTCTAATTTTAATATAGTTATACCACATTTCTAACAGTGATTGCTTGGTATATTTCTACATTGTTTAATTTCAAACTCCATGAATTGTTAACATTGAGATGTGTCCTTTGTAAATTTCAAACAATTCGCCTTAGAAAGTAAGACTTTCTGACAATCTTTTGTTCATGTTTGAGCAGTTCTTCCAATCATATTTTTGTTATTATTACGTTGTGTTTTCCTGATTCCCTTTTTTTCCCACTGACTTCTGTGGTTTTCTATTTCAAACATTCTATTTTTGATCTATGTCGTTTAGGAATACATATATGGTGTACTCATCCTGAAGTTGTTACATATTTTTAAAATTGAAATTAATCATTTCAGAGATTAAACTGCAAATATAAAAACATATTTCCACTCTTCCTGTGTAAGAACAGGATTTTAGAGCATATTTAGTACATATGTTTGTATTTACTTATATGATGTTTTGTTTTGTGGTATACATAATTCTATCTTTTTCAGAAATTACACAGGGGCGTGTTTTCATACACTATCGTATGGTCCATATTCATTTTTGGCATAGCCATATTTTTAGTTCTTCCTCTGCTCTTAGTTATTGTCAGAATCTTCGACACCCCATCTGGTTTCACTTTCTTTATCTTTGAGGCACGGTCATCAGAATTTCCTTTAGGGTCAGTGAGAAAAGCTTTCTTTGCCCTTTTGTCTTTCAGTTCTGTTTCTTTCCTGCGTTGATCTTGGACAGTAACTGTACTATGTAAGGAATTGTCGGTGGCTGGCGACGGTATCTTAGCTGGGTAAAGATGCTATTCTACTGGCTTATGTTTTCCTTTTTTCTGTGGGGAAGACAATGCTTGGCTCCCTATAAATCCTTACCAGCTGATCCTTTTCCTCTGGCTAATTTTAAGGGTTGGTTGTGCTTTTATGCTGCTTTTCTGTAATGTTGAACGTGAGGTGTGTTTACTTCATTCTGCCTGGCATTCACTGGATTTCTTGAACCTGTGGATTGATGGATGTGTCTACTTCCTCCAAATAATCAACAATTGCCTCTTTAAAGATTGCTTCTGACCTGTTTTCTCGTTCTTTCTTTTTGGAACTCAAGTTAGGAGCATTCTAAAACTGTTGTCAATTTTTACCCTGTCACAAAACTGCTCTTTCTTGTTTCAGTTATTTGCTTTTTCTGTGCATTAATATTGATGGTTTCCTCTGTCATAGAGGATAAATACTCTCTTCACTGTTGTGTACACAACATTTTAACTAGTTATTCTGGTTTAAATTTAATATTGACTTTATCTACATATCACAATTGATTACTGTGTACAGACTTTCTTTTCTATTAGTATAAATTTATGAGGTACACTTGTAATTTTGTGACATGAGTATGTTGCAGAGTAGTGAAGTCAGGACTTTTACTATATCCATCACCCAAATACCGTACATTGTACTCATTAAGCAAATTCTCATCACTCACCCACGTCCCGCCACCCTCCAGCCTTCTAGCCTCCGCTGTCCGTCATTCCACACTCTACGTCCATATGTACACATTACTCCCCTCCCATGTAGAGTGAGAAGATGTGGTATTTGTCTTTCTGAGTGGTTTTATGTAAAATAATGGCGTCCAGCTCCATCTATGTTGCTGCAAAAGACATGGTTTTATTTTTATGACCAAATAGTATTTCGTTGTGTATACACGCATCCTTTTTTTAATCCAATCATTCATTCACAGACACTTAGATTGATTTCATATCTTTGCTATTGCAAACAGTGCTGCAATAAACATACAGGTGCAGGTATTTTTTGAGTAGATACCCAGCAGCGGGACCCCTAGATCGAATGGTGCTTCTATTTTTGGTTCTCTGCCAAATTTCCATACTGTCTTCCATAGAGGCTATACTAATTTACATACCGGCCAACAGTGTATAAGAGTTTCCTTTTCTCTGCATCCTTGCCAACACCTGTTATATGTTTCACTTTTTCTTTTTTTCTTTTTGAGATGGAGTCTTCCACTGTCACCCAGGCTGGAGTGCAGTGCCGCCATCTCCACGCGCTGCAACCTCCACCAACCAGGTTCAAATGATTCTCCTGCCTCAGCCTCCTGAGTAGCTGGGATTACAGAACCACACCACCATGCCCAGCTAATCTTTTGTATATTTAGTAGAGATGGGGTTTCACTATGTTGGTCAGGCTGGTCTCAAACTCCTGACCTCATGATCCACCCGCCTCAGCTTCCCAAAGTGCTGGGATTACAAGCGTGAGCCACCACTCCCCACCAGCATTTTTAGTAATAGCCATTCTGACTACTGTAAGATGATATCTCATTGTGGTTTCAATTTGCATTTCTCTGATGATTAGTGATGTTCATACGCTGTTTGGCCATTCGTATGTCTTCTTTTGAAAAATGTCTATGTATATCCCTTTGCCCACTTTTTAATGCTATTATTTGAGGGGTTATGTTTAGTTGTTTGAGTTGCCTAGAAATTCTGGATGTTAGTCCTCTGTTGGGTGCATAGTTTGCAAACATTTCCATTCATTCTGTGGGTTGTCTGTTCACCCTGCTACTATTTCCTTTGCTTGGCAGAAGCTCTTTCGTTTATTAAGTCCCATTGGTCTAGTTTTATTTTTATTGCCTGTGCTTTTGAGGTCTTAGTGATGAATTCTTTGCCCAGACCAATGCCCAGAAGAGTTTCTCTTTGGGTTTCCACCGGTGATTTTATAGTTCTGGATTTACATTTAAGCTGCTAATTACCTTAAGTTAATTTATGTGTATGATTACAGATACAGGTCCAGTTTTATTCTTCTGCATATGGCTATTTAGTTTTCCCAGCACCTTTTATTGAAAAGGAAATCTTTCTCCAGTGTATGTTTTGTTAACGTCGTCAATGATTATTCACTGTAGATATGAGGCTGTATTTCTGGGCTCTCTATTCTGGTCTATTGATCTCTGTTTCTGTGTCTATACCAGCACTGTGCTATTTAAGTTACTATAGCCTTAGAGCATAGTTTGAAGTCAGATAGCGTGATGCCTCCAGGTTTCTACATTCACCTAGAATTGCTTTCTCTATTAGGATCTTTTTTGGTTCTGTATGAATTTTAGGATTGCTTTTTCTAATTCTGTGAAAGCTGGTGTTACTATTTTCATATAAGAATTGCACTGAATCTGTAGATTGCTTTAGGCAGTATGGTCATTTTAACAATATTAATTCTTATGATCCATGAGCGTGGGATTTTTTTTCTTTTTTTTTTTTTGTATTATCTATAATTGCTTTCATTGGTGTCTTACACCTTTCCTGGTACAGCTCTTTCACCACCTTGGTTAAATGTATTCCTGAGTGTTTTAATTTTGCGTATCTATTGTAAACGGCATTGCCTTCTTGATTTGGTTCTCAGCTAGATCATTATAGGTGTAGAGAAATGCTACCGGCTTTTACATATTGATTTTGTATTCTGAAACTTTACTTAGTTCATTTATCAATCATAAGAATTTTTGGCAGGGTCTTTAGGATTTTCTAGATTTAAGATCATAGCATCAGAAATAAAAATAATTTTACTTCCTCTTTTCTAATTTGGATTTTTAATTCTTCCTGTTGCCCAATAGCTCTGACAAGGCTTCCAGTACTATGTTGATAGGAAGTGGTGGATGTCCGTGTCCTTGTCTTGTGCCAGTTCTCAGAGGAGTGCTTTTAACTTTTCCTGTTCAGTATGATGTTGACTCTAGATATGTCATCTATGGCTTTTATTATTTTGAGGTATGTTCTTTCTATGCCTAAGTTTTTGAGGGTTTTCATCAGGTAAGGATGTTGAATTTCTTTTCAGATGCTTTTCTTTATGTCTATTGAGATGATCATATGGTTTTTGTTCTGGATTCTGCTCGTTCTTCTAAGTGGATGAGACATGCCAGAAAAGCATTTAGTCAGCCATCTTGGAAACAAGCATCTCAGATGTTTTCTTTCTCTATAGCTCATTCTTTCTTACCAGTGTTTTCAATTTTGTACTTAATTTTGTAAAGAGAGTAAATGATATAATTTCCACATATGTTTCCTCTGCCAAATCAGACTCACTATGCTTCCTTTCCTTGTATGCATAACCTACCCAGCAATACACACAAACATTTATTGCTTTGGAGAATTAGTTTGGGAACATTTTTGAAATGTACAAAAAAATGTATATCTTCAAAAGAAATTTCTTTTTGTGGCAAAAGACTTCTGAAGGTGCTCATGATGATATAGGGAGAAGAGGGGTTCTGGACAGGAAGAATTTTATGAAGGTGAGATGGGGAAATAGCTCCATTTCAGAGCTTCTGGGGAGAGAGGGGCCTGGCCCACATGGAAAGGTCTCTGATCTTACCCCCACCCTCCAGCCCCTGTTCTCCAGAACTATACTGTGGAGAGTTCCATCAGGATTGTTGTGGCTGGTCTGGTCTTCCTGGCTCTTTTGGCAATGCTGGCTAAGACCTGGTGGAGACATGAGGGGCCACAGGTGGAAATGGAAGAAACATGACTGAAGCTGGCTGGAGTGAATGGCGCGACATTCTGTCTGTGGGAGATCGGCCAGATGGGTTTCAAGTGTGTTGTATCAGCTGTGACTTTTAGTAATGTTCTTGCTACCACAATATCCACTCGTCCATCCCGAATAATTGTGATGAAATATTGTCCTTGGGATAATATTCATTTGCTAAAGACAGGGATGATACCTCAAGGTGCCACTATATACATCGAGGGGATCCACAAAAGTCCATTCAGTAAAATGTAGTTGGCATCTTAGAGTAGGTTGATTCCACCTCTAAAAAAGTAGGTACAACATCAGGTTGATTTTTCCGAAGAAAAGTGGTGATTGGCCATCTTTAGTCTCAATGTAAACGGTAATACTGATGAGTGTGGAAAAGGCAGGGAAGAGGATTGACAATAAGTGACACTCATTGTTTTCATCTGAGCTTTGAGACTGAAAGAGGAACACAGGAGTGAGATGTATGGGAACAAACCCCTTCTTTTTCCAGCTAAACAGAGTGGAAGTTGGACACTGAGTTTTGGCGTACAGCAAAATCCTAAGTCCATTGTTGGGTTGAACACGGCCATGTTGTACATCCTGGTTTCACAGCAGACACTGGAGGAAAACAGCCTGTATTCATAAGAGGCTGTCCCTCGAGTCACTGCCCAGAATATCCGGAGTTGGTGCTCACAGGGTTGGGAACTCTCCTGGACCAGACAGGCTCTGGATATGGGGGGGTACCAAGCTCCCCGGGGCCATGCCTCCACAGCTCTCTTCTCACCTCATTCTTGACCATTTCCCAAACCTCTGACCTCACCTTCATTCATCCATGGTGAACATGCTAAAGCTGGCCTTCAAAGCTTGAGACAGAGGAAAATTGGGCTTCATCTCTGGGAACTAAATTGGGGAGTGGAGACTCAGTTCTGGCCTGACAGGAGGGAGAAGACCCTGGATCCCAGTGTGGATGGGAAGAAGTATGTGTTTCTCTTTTGTGCTTGGACCCTGTGTCCAAGCATGTCTGAGATGTGATGAAGATGAATCTTCCTTTCCTTGTCTATTTTCTCATGCCAGAGAATTGGAATCTTATATTCCATTAACTCTTTCTGTTCTGTTCATCCAGATTCTATGAAGGAGAAAGGAAAAGATGTGATACTGTAATTTTGCTCCATTTGTCTAAAATGAGTAGGCTGCAACTCCTCTTGAAGTGATACCTTTTCTAGCTCTTGTTGGAGGTGTCTCAGGACTCATTACTTCGGGGAACCTGCAACTGTGTCAGTCTGGGGAAACTGCAAATATTCTTGTCTTACATTTGTCTCCAGCCAATTGTGATGGACTCCAGTGACCTGCAATTGCTGTTATTGCAGGTAAAATGTACCTGAGTCAGGCCACAGTTCTCCTGGACTATGAGCCCCTGGCCATGTTCCTGAGGCAATTCTGTTCATCTAAATATAATAATAATAACACACTAAAAATGGCAAGCCATTGTTAATTCCTGAAGTCTCATTTGAAAATTACTAAATGTCTGTTATTTTTTGGTGTTTACATTATATGTAGACAGATAAACTACACACACACACACACACACATGCACACAGAAGAATGGATTGGTTCATGTAGAAAAGTAAATAATTCAAGATGAAAGGATGAAATGTCATGGCACCTACTATTCTATTTTAGATAAAGGGTCTATGAAAAGATTGATTTCTTTTTATGTTTTATTTGTTGACATTTGAACACAAACTATGTAAGTGAGGGAGTCGATTTGAAAGGGAGAAGAGCAAGTTCAAACACATTCAGGTGAGGTCATGCTTTACATGTTTTAATTGAAATGATCCATCTTGGGAGTAGATCAATAACTGAGATGGTGCCAGGAATGTTAAAAAGCTTTTGTCAGTCCTAAATATTGACAAATAAAATTTAATTAAAGTCTTAGAAGAAAACACAAAGGAAAACTTCACAACATCGGATTTGGCAGTGATTCTTTAGATGTGACAACAACGGCACAGGCTACTACAGAAAAAATAAACAAGTTAGACTTTATGAAAATTTTGAAATATTGTGACTCAAAAGACAACATCAGTTACTTCACATGGCAAGGAAAAAGAACTTTTAAGACGATATTATCAAAGTAAAAAGACAACCCACAGAATGGGAGAAAATGTTTTCAAACCACACCACCTGTAAGGGATTAACATCCAGAATATACAGACAACTCCTAAAACTCAATCACAATAAACTCAATTCAAAAATGGGCAAAGTACTGAAACAGACATTTCTCCAAAGAACATACGCATGACAAGATATTCAGCATCACGAATCATTAGGGAAATACTAACTAAAACTACACCAGATGCCATTTCATACCCCTTAGGATGGGTATCATCAAAACAACAACAACAACAACAACAAAGTTTCTATACATTAACAACAAACTATCCAAAAAAGTTTACAAGAAAATAAGCCCATTTGCAATAACTACAGAAAACAAAACATGCAGGAATAAATTCACCCAAGGAGTAGAAAGATCTGTATGCAAAAGCTATAAAACATTGATGAAAAAACTCAAGAAATAAACAAATAAATCGAAAGATATTCCATGTTCACGGATCAGAAGGATTAATGTTGTTAAAATGTCCATTCTATCCAAAGTGATTCAATGCAACCATTATCAAAAATCCAATGACATTTTTTTTTACAGAAATAGAAAAAACAGTCCTAAAATTCATGTGGAACCACAAAAGATCTCAAATAACCAAAGCCATCTAGAGGGAAAGGAACAAAGTTGGAAGCATCACATTACCTAAACACAAACTACATTACAAAGTTACAGTAATTAAAACAACACAGTACTTGCATAAAAACAGACACATAGACCAATGGAAGTGATTCATAGCCCAGGAAAAAAAATGCACGCATTTAGGGTCAAACAATTTTTGGGATGTATCAAGAACACACAATGGAGAAGGAACAGTCTCTTTAATAAATGGGATTGGGAGACATGCAGAAGAATGGAAGTGGACATTTGCCTCACAAAACATACAAAGTCAACTCAAGATAGATTAATGACTTAAATGTAAGATGAAAGACTATCATCCCAGCAATTTGGGAGGCCAAGGCGGGCAGATCACCTAAGGTCAGGATTCCAAGACCAGCATGGCCAACATGGTGAAATCCCGCCTCTACTAAAAATACAAAAACAGCTGGGTGTGGTTGTGGGTGCCTGTAATCTCAGCTACTCGGGAGGTTGAGACAGGAGAATCACTTGAACCCAGGAGGTAGAGGTTGCAGTGAGCCGAGATCGCATCACTGCACTCCAGCCGGGGCAACAGAGTGAGACTCCATCTTAAAAAAAAAAAAAACTACTAAAAGAAATCAAGGGAAAACTCCACTGGCTTGGGCAAAACCATTTTGGATATTAACCCAAAGGCCCAGGCAACAAAAGCAAAAGTAGACAAATAACATTATATCAAATTGAAAGTTTCTGCAAAGAAAAAAAAAAACTCAACAAGTGGAAAGACAACCTATGGAATGGGAGAATATATTTGCACCCATACATCTAATAAGGAATTAATATCCAAAATATATAAGAAACTCAAACAACTCAATGGTAAGAAATCAAATAACCCAACTTAAAAAAATGGGCAAAGTATCTGAATAAACATTTCTAAGAATAAGACAAATCACCAAAAGGTATATGAAAAAATGATTAGCATTACTAAACATCAGCTAAATAAAAATTAAAACTAGAATGAGATATCACCTCACACCTCTTAGAATGACCATTAACAGTCTGGGCATGGTGGCTCATGCCTGTAATTCAGGCACTTTGGGAGGCCGAGGCAGGGAGATTACCTGAGGTCAGCAGTTCGAAACCAGCCTGGCCAATATGGTGAAATCCCATCCCTACTAAAAATACAAAAATTAGCAGAGTTTGGTGGCGCACACTTGTAGTCCCAGCTACTCTGGAGACTGAGGCAGGGGAATCGCTTGAACCCAGGAGGCAGAGGTTGCAGTACACCGAGATTGTGCCACTGCACTCCAGCCTGGGTGACAGAGCAAGACTGAGTCTCAAAAAAAAAAAAAAAAAGACCATTATCAAAAACATAAAAAATAACAAGGGTTAACGAGGATGTGGAGAAAAGGGAACATTTGTATGCAGTTGATGGGAATGTAAATTAGCACAACCATTATGGAAAACAGTCTGGAAGTTCCTGAAAAAATTAAACATAGAATTCCCATATGTGTCTGCAATCCAACTACTGCGCATGTATCCAAAGGAAGTGGAATCAGTATGTTGAAGAGATATCTGCATTCCCATGTTTACAGCCGCATTATTCATAACAGCCAAGATGTGGAATCACCCTTACTGCCCATCTATGGGTGCATGGACAAAGAAAACGTGGTATACGATAGGAACGTAATGAAGTACTATACAACCTTTACAACAAAGAAGGAAGTCCTCTCATTTGTGACAATGTGAAAAAACTTAGAGGACATTATGTTAAGGGAAACAATCCAGGCACAGAAAGACAAATGCCACATGATCTCATGTGTGGAGTGTAAGAAGTGGAACCTAGAGGAACAGTAAAATGGTCGTCGAAAGAACCTGGGAAGGAGAGAGATTGAAGAGATGTTGGTCAAAGGATGCAAAATTTCAGTTAGAAGAAATCGGTTCAAGAGATCTATTGTATGTCTTGGTGACTCCATTTAATAGCAACATATGGTGTATTGAACATTACTAAGAGATTAGATTTTACATGTTCTCACCACACACACAAAACATACAAGTATGTGAAAAAATAAATAGATAAAGAGGTTGTTTCATCCATTCCACAATGTGTACCTATATGAAAACATCATGATGGACACCACAAATACCCTTTTCCTCATTAATTAAATTTGTTTTGGCTTTTTTTTTGAGACGCAGTTTCACTGTTGTTGCCCAAGCTGAGGTGCAATGGCGTGATCTCCGCTCACTGCAACCTCTGCCTCCCAGGTTCAAGCGGTTCTCCTGACTCAGCCTCCCAAGCAGCTGGGACTACAGTTGCGTACCACCCCGTCCGGCTATATTTGTGTTTCTAGTAGAGACAGGGTTTCGCCATGTTGGCCAGGCTGGTCTCGAACTCCAGACCTCAGGTGATCCACCCGCTTCGCCCTCCCAAAGTGCTAGATTTCAGGCTGAGACACCACACCCAGCCTGTACATTGACTTTCTGCCCTTAAACTGTGCTGAAGTTTGTTTCTCAGATGTAGGAGCCTTTGGGCAGAGACTATGGGGTTTCTAGGTATAGAAATTATCTCATCTTCAAACAGAGGTAATTTGACTACCTCTCTCTGCTACTCTCTTCTTACTTGGATGCCTTATAATTCTTTCTCTTTCCTGATGGCTCTGTCTAGGACTTCAAGTACTATGTTGAATAGGATGGTGAGAGTGGGCATTCTTGTCTTGTTTCACTTATGAAGGGAACTTCTTCCAGCTTTTACTCATTCAGTATGATGTTGGTTGTGGGTTTGTCATAGGCGGCTCTTATTATATTGAGTTATGTTTCTTCAATGCTTAGCTTGTTGAGGGCTTTTAACATGAAGAAATGCTTAGTAAAAAGTATGTTCTACATGTGTGTTGAGAAGATCATGTGGTTTTTGTTTTTAGTTTTGTTTAGGTGATGAATCACATGTATTGATTGTGTATGTTCAACCAACCTTGCACCCTAAGAATAAAGTTGACTTGATCATGGTGGATTCACTTTTTGATATGCTGCGGGATTCAGTTCTTAGTATTTTTTGTGGATTTTTGCATCTATGCTCATCAGGAATATTGGCATGTAGTTTTCTTTTGTTTAATATTCTTTTCTGTCTTTAGTATCAGGGTGATGCCAGCCTTATAGAATGAGTAAAGGCCACCCTGGGCAAACAGTGAGACCCATCCCTTTTTAAAAATTATGAGTTTTACAAATTTAAAATGCATAGTGAAAAAGTTCTTACAAACTCCAGAAAGGTAGGTGTAAATAAGAGACATTTGTAAGAATGACAGCACATTAAATGTGTAGATTTCAACCTTCAGTTATTGCAATATTCCAGTATCAAGTTGGAGGATGTTATCAGTCTGATATTTTTTCCTCAAATGAGAGAGAGAAAGAAAGACACACAAACAACACAGGGAGAAAAAAAGCACACGTTACAGAGAGACAAAAAGGGAGACAGGGAACTGTGAATTTGGACTCTTGTGTCATAAGACAAATTCTAGATAACACGACCAGACCTTCAATTGACATATTGTGTTTTTGCTAATAAGGTGGAATTCTATGATGCGAAATAACTATATAGTCTTTTCTACTGGGATTTAAATCATTTTATCTGTTTCTGGCTTAACAGGAAAAATACAACCATGGAAAATTATGATGATTTATTTAATACGATTGCTCTATAGTGTTAATAAAACCTATTAGGTATTTTGCATATTACATATCAAGGAGAGTTTGAATCTCAGGTAGAAACAAAAAAAAATACATCAAAAGTTCCTCATGTGAGTGCAGAATTCAATCGTCCCGTGCAGGGGTAAGTGAGTCTGAGATGTGTTTTGAGCCTGGCCGTTGCGCATGATGTGAACTGACAAGTCTAGTCTGCAGTTTTCAGAAACCCTCATTCCTCCCTTGACTGACTCACCACTTGAACCTCATATGACGTAGAAGAAGCCTACCTATGTCCCCTTCACATGTTGTGGTCAATGTGTCAACTGCACGATCCGGGCCCCTCACCACATCCTCTGCACCGGTCAGTCGAGCCGAGTCACTGCGTCCTGGCAGCAGAAGCTGCACCATGTCCATGTCACCCACGGTCATCATCCTGGCATGTCTTGGTGAGTCCTGGAAGGGAAGGAGCACCAGGGTTACACTATGGGCCTGCAGATTGGGTGTCTCCCCAGCAGAGAGCCATGTTCTGAAGCAAGTGAGTGGTGAGGATGAGTTAATTTTCAGTCCAGCGTGGCGCCCAGTGGCTCAGGAGGAAAGGGTAGGTTGGTGCCGAGATGAATAGTTCATCATGATCTTTCTTTGCAGGGTTCTTCTTGGACCAGAGTGTGTGGGCACACGTGGGTGAGTCCTTCCCCAAATGATGGGTTGCCATCTTCACCCCAATACAAGTGAATTTTCCGGAAATGGGAGGGAGGCAGCACAGAGGGTGGGCTGATGGGCTGACCATGGGAAGGCCTGGGGGGAGTCTCTCATGAACTAGTAAGAGGAGATCCTGGGAGTCTCTCATGAACTAGTAAGAGGAGATCCTGGGAGTCTCTCATGAACTAGTAAGAGGAGATCCTGGGAGTCTCTCATGAACTAGTAAGAGGAGATCCTGGTATGCTCAGCCCTCTGTTTTGTCTTAGCCCTCCCCAGCCTTTCTTCCCCATGGCTGAGTTGAGCTCTGTGTGGCCCAGGCGGGATACTGAGGTGCTCAAAGCTGGGGTGTGTGGGGGGATGTGGTGTCACCGACAGAGGAGGGAAGGGTAGCAGTGTTAGGAACAGCAGGTCCTCTGAGGACAAGAGGGTAACTCACACCCTCCAGCGTTTCCATGACGGTAGGGGCTGCAGTGTGGCTGCTGTCATTCTGCCAGAAGAGGTGGGGGAACCACAGCCACGACCCTGCCATTCCAAATCCTCTGATGGAGCTCAGTTGTTTATTGTGGTTCAGGCATTAGCTAATATTCCATTCACAAAGGTCATACCCTCCACCCCATGTCTACTTTGTGTTGTTTGGTGTAACTAATCTTGCAGTATTAAAATCTAGTAAGAGTCCCTTACTCAGCACCTGCTCAGTTCTCAACTGACACTTTTGTTGTAGGGAGATGCCACGTCTATGCGGGATGGGTCCTTCCTGTAGCCCCAGGCACCCAGGTGTGGTAGGAGCCTTAGAAAGAAGAAATGGGGAGAATCTTCTGAGCACAGGGAGGGAGGGGCAGCTCAACATACTCCTCTCTGAGGCGGCATCTCCTTCTCCCCAAGGTGGTCAGGACAAGCCCTTCTGCTCTGCCTGGCCCAGCGCTGTGGTGCCTCAAGGAGGACACGTGACTCTTCGGTGTCACTATCGTCGTGGGTTTAACATCTTCACGCTGTACAAGAAAGATGGGGTCCCTGTCCCTGAGCTCTACAACAGAATATTCTGGAACAGTTTCCTCATTAGCCCTGTGACCCCAGCACACGCAGGGACCTACAGATGTCGAGGTTTTCACCCGCACTCCCCCACTGAGTGGTCGGCACCCAGCAACCCCCTGGTGATCATGGTCACAGGTCAGAGGGCTCCTGTCTGGGCTTCTCCTTGTCCCACCTCCTGAGTCCCAGAGCTTCTGGTGGGGGTGTCCACCAGAGTCCGATCATCCAGGCCCCAACTATATTTGGGGTAAAGGGGGATTGAATACAGGGGAATGGGTGCTGTGTTGGAAAGAATAACTGTCCCCATCGATGGCCACATTGTAATCCTTGGAGCCTGTGACTATGTTATAGGGCAGGGGACTGAAGGGGAAGATGGAGCTCAGGTTGTTGATGAGTTGACCTTGAGATGGGGAGATGGCCTGGACTCTCCCACTGGGCTCAGTGTAATCACAAGGGTCCATATGAGTGGAGAAGGAAGAGGAGAATGGGGATTAGAGCAGCATCGTGGGATACTCCACCAGCCACTGTGGGCTTTGAAGGTGGAGGAAGACCACGAGCCACGAAGGGGCTGGAGAAATCAATGGAACTGATTCTCCCGAGTCTCCAGAGGGAATGCAGCCCTGCAGATGCCTTGATTGTAGCCCAGGAAGAACAGGGTCTGATTTCTGTCTCCAGAAGTGGAAGGGGTCAGTGTGTTCTCTCCTGTCGCCATGTTTGTGATAATTTTCTCCAGCAACAACAGGAAACCAACACAGGAACCCAGGTGAAGGACAAGTTAAAAAACCAAACAAGAAGGTTGGCTACCCTGAGATCAGCAAGGGTGCACTGCTGATGCCACCACCAGGCTGGAACCACATAGGGAGGGATCGACAGGAAGAGTTGGGGGTGGAGGGTGAGAGAGAGAGAGAGAGCACTAGGCCATAGAGCAGGGCAGTGAGTTCTCAGCTCAGGTGGGAGGGGAGCTGTGACAAGGAAGAACCTCCCTGAGGAAACTGCCTCTTCTCCTTCCAGGTCTATATGAGAAACCTTCGCTTACAGCCCGGCCGGGCCCCACGGTTCGCACAGGAGAGAACGTGACCTTGTCCTGCAGCTCCCAGAGCTCCTTTGACATCTACCATCTATCCAGGGAGGGGGAAGCCCATGAACTTAGGCTCCCTGCAGTGCCCAGCATCAATGGAACATTCCAGGCCGACTTCCCTCTGGGTCCTGCCACCCACGGAGAGACCTACAGATGCTTCGGCTCTTTCCATGGATCTCCCTACGAGTGGTCAGACGCGAGTGACCCACTGCCTGTTTCTGTCACAGGTGAGGAAAGCCAATGTCTGTCCCATGTCCTATGGTCCTAGAGCCTTAGCTGAGGAGCTTCCTGCTGATGATGGAGAGAAGCATGGACAGATGTGGAGAGAAGATGCAGCATGGTGTGAGGGCGGGATCAGGGCACAGGATGGCAGACAGGGCACCTCCAAACCCTCCTGCATGGCCTGCATGGAAGCTTGCAGTAAGGGCTCCGGGTACCCAGGCAGATGGAGAAAGTGGTCAGGACAGACCCAGAGGAGGGAGACTGGGCTCAGTTTGGGGAGATCAGAGGTTCCCTCAGCCCCTCAACCTTACCCATTTCCCAGAAGCCCACCCTGGCCTCTCACCTACACAGAGATGTCATCACCAGCAACCCCTACACTTTTTCTTTTCCTTTGAAAAAATGCTGATTGAGGTTAAATATACCTATATAATTTATCAACTTTACCATTTTTAAGTGTAAAATCTAGGGATCATAAATACCTTTATATGCTGTGTGCGGTGGCTCACGCCTGTAATCTCAGCATTTTGAGACGCCAAGGCAGGTGGATCATTTAAAATCAGGGGCTGGAGACCAGCCTGGCCAACATGGGGGAACCAATCTTTACTAAAAAGACAAAAAAAATAAAATTAGCCAGGCATGGTGCCAGGCGCCTATAATCCCAGCAACTTGGGAGGCTGAGGCGGGAGAGTGGCTTAAACCCAGGAGGAGGAGGTTGCAGTGAGCTGAGATCATGCCACTGCACTGCAGCCTGGTGACACAGAGAGACTCTGTCTCTAAATAAATAAATAAATAAATACTTTTATATTCTTCTTTTGTTACCCTCCACCCCTTCCTTCCTAACCTCTGGTATCCACCATTCTACTCTCTACCTTCATGAGGTCCACCTTTTACATCCTGCATGTGAGTAAGAAATGGCAATCCTTGTAATGACCTCTAGTCCATCCATGTGGCTGCAAATGACAGGACGTTACTCTTTCTATGGATGAGTTGTCTCCATTGTGTGTATGTACTACATTCTCTCTATCCATTCATCCACTGATGGGCAGGTAGGTTGACTCCACATCTTGGCTACTGTGAACAGTGCTGGAACAGTCATGGGAGTGCAGATGTCACTTCAATACACTGAAGTCCTTTTCTTTGCATTTACACCCACTAGTGGAATTGCTAGATCCTCTGGATGTTCTCTTTTTAGGTTTTGTTTTATGCTTTTTGTTTTTTTGACATAGCGTTTCACTCTTGTTGCCCAAGCTGGAGTGCAATGGCACCACCTGGGCTCACTGCAACCTCTACCTCCAGGATTCAAGTGATTCTCCAGCCTCAGCCTCCCGAGTAGTTGGGATTACTGGTGCCCGCCACCAAGCCTGGCTGATTTTTGTATTTTTAGTAGAGACGGGGTTTCACCATGTTAGCCAGGCTGGTCTCGAACTCTTGACCTCCAGTGATCTGCCCACTTCAGCCTCCCAAGGTGCTGGGATTACAAGCGTGAGCCACAGTGCCTAATCTCTTTTCAGTTTTTAAGGAACTTCCATATTCTTCTCCTCTGTAATGGCTGTATTAATTTACATTCCTATCAACAGTGTATCAGGGTTCTCCTTTCTCCACCACCTTGCCAACATTTGTTTTGTCTGTCTCTGAGATAAAACCCATTGTAATGGGGTGAGATGATAGCTCATTGTGACTTCATTTGCATTTCTCTGATGATTAGTGATACTGAGCACTTTTTCATATATGCAATGTATATATGTTCATTTGTATGTTTTGTTCATTGAGAAATGTCTGTTCAGGTCTTTTACTAATTTTATAATTAAATTATTAGTTTTATTGAGGTGTTTGAGCTTCTTTTATATTCTAGTTATTAATCCCATCTCAGATGCATAGTTTGCAAATATTTGCTCCCATTCTGTGGGTTTTCTCTTCTTCACTTCATTGGTTGCTTCCTTTGCGGTGCAGAAGCTGCTTGATTTGATATAATCCCAATGGTCTATTTTTTTTGTTGTTGTTGTGATTACTTGTGTTTTTGAGGTTTTAAACAAAATGTCTTCCCTCAGACAAATGTCCTGGAGCATTTCTCCAGTGTTTCCTTTTAGACATTTAATGGATTCAGGTCTTAAGTCATTAATCCATTTTCATCTGATTTTTGTGTATGGTGAGAGGTAGAGGTGCAGTTTCATCCCTCTGCATGTAGATATCCAGTTTTCCCTGCACCATTTATTGAAATGACTGTCCTTTCCAGATTGTAGATTCTTCGAACCTTTGTCAAAGTCCATTGGATGTAAATGGCTGGATTACATCCGTGTTCTTCATTCTGCTTCATTGTTTTATGTGCTTTTCTTTATGCCAATGTCATGTTGTTTTGCTTACTACAGCTCTGTAACATATTTTTAAGTCAGGTAGTGTGATGCTCCTGTTTTCTCCTTATACCTTGAAGTCTCAAGATAGTTGGTGTCACCTACAATGATTATGGAGAATGGGATGCCAGGACTCCCAGGGCCCAACATTAGATAATAGAAGGTTGGCCATGAACCAACCTCAAAGATTTCCATTGAGTAGAAAAGACAGGCATCCTCATTGCCACACCTCTCTCCTGTCCCATGTTCTAGGAAACCCTTCTAGTAGTTGGCCTTCACCCACTGAACCAAGCTTCAAAACTGGTAAGTGAAGGACCCCTCTTATCTCTGCTTTTGGAAACCTGGGGAGGTAGAAGCCTTGGATTCAAGCGTTGGCTCAGCACCTGCCAGCTCTGTGATTGTGGGCCTGTCTTCCATTGTCTCTGAACCCCAGACACTCCAACAGCGAAAGGGATCTGGGCCCAGCACAGGGCTCAGTGAAATCTCTTAATCTCTAATTTTCTGCTGCTGAGACCTCAGGGTAGAAGGATGAGTGCAAATCAGACATTCTTCTCAGGAAAAATGCTGTGTTTGTTCTGCCTGCATTCCTAACTGGGAGGACAAATGCCTGGGGGCTTGAGAAGGGGAAGGAAGGGGAACATTTTTGAGGGTGGTGTGTTTGTAGAGAAGTTCTACTTGCCAAGGAATGAGCTCCTGTCTGTCATGATCCAACCCTGGTTGACTTAGTGGAACAAGAGCTTTGCGGTAAGAGAGAACGTAGTTCATCCGTGCACATGACACTTCCACTTACTCGTTCAGCCACTGCCCCATGCTCAGACTGTGCAGTGTGGAACTTTTTCCTATGTTGCCATAACAAATTTCCACAAGCTTCGTGGATGGAAACCACATTTTTAAAAAATATCTCATGGTGCTGTAGCTCAGAAGTATGAAATGCATCATCTCACTGGGCTAAAATCAAGGTGACAGCAAGGCTGCCTTCCCTCTGAATGTTCCAGGCAAGAATCTGCTTCCTCACTTTTCCCAGCTCCTAGAGGCTCCCACATTCCTTGGCTCCTGGTCCCCGTCTTCCTCCCTCAAAGTCCACAAAGGCTGGTCACGCCTCTCACACGGCATCACTCAGACCCTTCTTCCTTGTCCACACCTCTTTCTCTGAATGCTGCTCTGCCTTCTTCCTCATCTTTTAAGGACTTTGGCATTCTATTGGAAACACCAAGATAATCCATCATAATTTCCCTAAAATCATCTAGGATACCCTCCTTTTAAGGTTAGCTGATTAGCAACCGTAATTCCATCTGCAATCTGCATTCCTTTTTTCCATGTAAAATAACATATTCACAAGATATGGCGACTAGGACAGGAACATTTTGGGGTGGGGCGGCATTCTTATCCTTTCCACAAATGGTAAACAAGGTGCATTTGGCCTCTGCTCTTGGACACTGATATTGCAAAGGATTAAATGGGAGGGCAGAAAATGAATACACCAGTGGACCAATAAATGAATGATCCATTGGGAAGCATCTGTGCATGAGAATGATTGATTGATTGGTTGTTTTTATGAGACGGTGTCTCCCTCTGTGCCCCAGGCTGGAGTGCAGTGGCGGGATCTCGGCTCACCGCAACCTCCACCTCCCAGGTTAAAGCGATTCTCTACACTCAGCTTCCCGAGAGGCTGGGATTACACCCATGTCCCACCACGCCTGGCTAATTTTTTTTTGGTATTTTTTTTTAGTACAGACAAGGTTTTACCATGTTGCCCAGGCTATCTCAAACTCCCAACCTTAAGGGATCCGCCCGTCTCAGCCTCCCAAAGTGCTGAGATTAGAGGCGTGAGCCAAGGCGCCGAGCCGTATTTTAAAAGAAATAATAGATAATGCTGAGTGTATAATTTCGGGTGACAGAGAAGTTCTCACTGATCAAATAATACTTGTGACCTTAATGAAAAAAATAGATCAACCCCTGGAAGATTGGCGGAAGGATTTTCCACACAGCTGTCAGCCGTGAAGGCACAAAGGTGAAAACAATGTTATGTGGAAGGAAGAGGCTCTGCCTGAAATGCTGGGAATGACATGGGGAGAATGACAAGACGACTGTGGAGAGACAGAGAGCACTCTGGGTACACAGGAAACTAAGGAGGAACAAGGAGCGTGTGTTTGATACTCACAGCCATTGGACTTACCTCGGGGCTAACTGGGAATCCCTACATGATGAATAGTGACTGACATGAAAATAAGGGAGGCCCAGGTGCATAACTGGAATCTAGGAGACTGTGGAAAAGGCAATTCCCGCCCCCCTGGTGAAATGTGGTGCTGATTTAGACACTAAATGAATGAAAGATGGACACAAGATGTGTTTGTGAGGTAGAGTAATTTGCAGGGAGGGCTTGCCTGGTTTGATTTTTCCTAATTGTTTAATCTTCACTTCATTGATTTCTTTCTGAGATTTATTTTTCCTACATGTAAATCAATACTTGGCAGAGGAGTGAGAGATACATGAGGGGTGGTGCAAAGGAAGAGACCTATTATAATATAACACACAAGGTTCTGAACGGTGGCTCACACCTGTAACCCAACATTTTGGGAGGCTGAGGAGGCTGGATCAAGTGAGATCAGGAGTTCGAGATCAGCCTGGACAACATGGTGAAACCCCATCTCTACTAAATATACAAAAACTAGCTGGGGGTGGTGGCGCGTGCCTGTAATACCAGCTATTCGGGAAGTTGAAGAAGGAGAATGGCTTCAACCAGGGAGGGAGAGGTTACAGTGAGCCAAGATCGCGTCATTGCACTGCACCCTAGGTGACAGAGTGAGACTCCATGGCAAAAAATAAAAATAAAGAATACATAAATATAATATAACATACACGAATGACAAAGGCACACCAATTCCAATCATCATTTTTCTATTTCTCTATAATGACTTCTTTGATCCTTTATCCTATCCATAAGAAAATCAGGCGAAAACATCTTCCTTATTTGGCTTTCTGTGAGCATGAGATCATATGGAAAATGTGAAACCCACCAGCACAGGTCCTGGAATAGAGAACGTGATCTGTTCATGGCACAAAACTTGCCCCTTCACCCAAATCCCCCACCTCACCCCTACTTCCAATCACATTAATGATACAGATAGATCATGGGGAGGTAAAAACTAATATTCTTTGGAGTTCAGATCGTAGACTCAGAGACCAGTGCCAGCACTATCTCCTGGTCACCTTTTGGAGTAATTCACAGAAAGACAGGCTGTATTGAAGCAACAGATGATGGAGGGGGTGGTCTTTCCCCCAGACTCTCGGGTGGAACAGCAGCCTAATATCTGACTCCCAAGATGACAAAAGTAGCATGTTGCCCACGAGCTTCATCATTATTTCCTGGCTGTTTGATATAAGACAGCTCAACCTCACTTATGTTGATTTCAATGTCACTGTTTTTTCCTTTTCTTGGAGAATGTAATTTGTTTGAGTCAAGAGGGTTGTGGATGTAGAAACTGTAAAGCACATTCACTGTGTATCAATCCCAGTCCAGTCTTCCCAGAGAAGACTCTAAACACCTCCCATACTGCACCTGGGCCTGTGCCAATTTCTATCACTCACCATCACTCCAGGGAGACAGAACACACAGGGAATACATTACATAGGCAGGTTCATTACTTATAGATAAGCAGCGAGTGACAACAGAAACCTTCCTTTCAGGGTGAGCCAGTCCCTCAAGGCTCAGAAAAACTGCTCAGGACACATGGAGTCACTTCATGTGCACTGTAGCTGGGGGAAGCCAGAAAGCAGCCCAGCCTGGGTTTTGTACCCTGGAGCCACAGGGAACACTCAGCTAAAGCACTGCATGATGTTCTCCTCCAGGAAGAACAGGAAGACAGCCCAGGCTGTTCTGAGACGTTCCTCCTGATCTCAGGATGTTGCTGTCTTAGCCTATTTTTGTTGCTATAAAAGAACACTTGAGCCTGGGTATCTTCTAAAGAAAAGAGATGTGTTTGGCTCACTGATCGGCACGCTGTACTAGAAGCAGGACACTACCATCTATTTCTGGCTGCGGCCTCAGGCTGCTCCCACACTGACAGAAGAGAAGGGGGTCCTGCGTGTGCAGAGACCACAGAGATCACATGGCAAGAGAGGGAGAAAGGGGGTGTGATGGAGCTTCCAAGCTCTTTTTAAGAATCAACTCTCCAGGGTACTAATAGAGGGAGAACTTGCTAAACCCGTCCTCTGGGGACAGCATTAATCTATTCATGATGGATCCACCCCCATGACCAAAACACCCCTCCCAATAGGCACAACCTCCCACACTGGGGATTAAATTTCAAAGTGGGGTTTGGAGGGGTCAAACATTGAAACAATAGCAGTTGTATCATCAGCACATTCTATTGTTATTATGAAAACTATAACGGAGAAAGCAGGAGAAAGCTGGGTCTCCCGCCTCGTGGGTGCTTGTCCTAAAGAGGTGTTTTATGTGGTTGCCTGGCAACCAAGAAATGAGAGACAATCCACAAAGAGGAACTGCTATGGTTAGCTTCTTATTGGATTCTCATCTTCCTCCAGGTATCGCCAGACACCTGCATGCTGTGATTAGGTACTCAGTGGCCATCATCCTCTTCACCATCCTTCCCTTCTTTCTCCTTCATCGCTGGTGCTCCAAAAAAAAAAGTAAGCCTCACGAAGCAGAGGCCAGAGAACTCAGGGCCCTGTGCGGAAGCAGGATGGGAGCACGCAGGTGTGTGTTCCTCACTGGCAGGAAAGTCTCTGGCCCAAGGCAGGAGCCAGAGGCAGAGCTTTCTAGAGAGAGCACCAGACACCCTGCCCCTGCCTTCAGCTCACAGACCATTGCCTGATTGTGAACTGTATCCTCACGTCCCCTGCAGCCACTCACATCCAGGAGAAGATTCCATGACAGGCAGAAAGTGGGAGATAGAATCAATGGGATGGGAACTGACAGCTATTCATGGAATGGGGTCTTGCACTCAGAGAGATGGAATGTCTGAGTCTGGCTGTTGGCAGCTGAGGGACCTCAGGCACCTATGGCCTCCCCCTGTGTGTTGGTATCTGTTCATGAAATGAGGACCCAGAAGTGCCCTCCCAGCTGTTTTGATTGCTTCCGTCTCCTACAGATGCTGCTGTAATGAACCAAGAGCCTGCGGGACACAGAACAGTGAACAGGGAGGTAGGTCCTCCTAGCCCAGCCTCATGGATACAGTCTTATTCCCTAATAGTCCTGAAAAATGTGAACACCCTCCCTCACTCAGGATTTCCCTCTCTCCAGGACTCTGATGAACAAGACCCTCAGGAGGTGACATACGCACAGTTGGATCACTGCATTTTCACACAGAGAAAAATCACTGGCCCTTCTCAGAGGAGCAAGAGACCCTCAACAGATACCAGCGTGTGTATAGAACTTCCAAATGCTGAGCCCAGAGCGTTGTCTCCTGCCCATGAGCACCACAGTCAGGCCTTGATGGGATCTTCTAGGGAGACAACAGCCCTGTCTCAAACCCAGCTTGCCAGCTCTAATGTACCAGCAGCTGGAATCTGAAGGCGTGAGTCTCCATCTTAGAGCATCACTCTTCCTCACACCACAAATCTGGTGCCTCTCTCTTGCTTACCAATGTCTAAGGTCCCCACTGCCTGCTGCAGAGAAAACACACTCCTTTGCTTAGCCCACAATTCTCTATTTCACTTGACCCCTGCCCACCTCTCCAACCTAACTGGCTTACTTCCTAGTCTACTTGAGGCTGCAATCACACTGAGGAACTCACAATTCCAAACATACAAGAGGCTCTCTCTTAACACGGCACTTAGACACGTGCTGTTCCACCTTCCCTCGTGCTGTTCCACCTTTCCTCAGACTATTTTTCAGCCTTCTGGCATCAGCAAACCTTATAAAATTTTTTTGATTTCAGTGTAGTTCTCTCCTCTTCAAATAAACATGTCTGCCTTCATTCTTTAGGTGACTCTTTTTTTGGCTGAAAGTTTCCAGTGTTATCATTACCATGTCCAAATAACTCCAACTGTTCTCCACTGGGTTCTCACCCCTGGACTCTGAGCTTCTGGAAGCAGGGTGGAGCCTGATTTGTCTCTGAGACTCCAATTTCCATCCAAAGATGCAGCACATAAGAGGTTCCAAGGATCGTGAATCACATGAACAAGTGATATTCTTACTCTCTGCAGACCTGGAAAGCTGGCAGAGTCATTCCATGATGAAACATTTGTAGAGTCATAGGCCTTGTCAGTCTCATCTCCACGGCGACACATATCAACACATCATCTTTCATACTATAAATATACAGTCGGTCCTCTGTATCTGTGGGATTTACAGGTGTTTATTGAACCAAATATAAATCAAAAATATTCAGAGAAAAAATCCACAAAGTTTCAAAAAGCAAAACTATGTTGAATGGACACAAATGAAGCTGTGTGTAGGCTGTATCAGGAATTATAAATAATCAAGGGATGATTTCATGTACACAGGAGGATGTGCATGGGTTATTTGCAAAAGCTGTGCCATTTCATGTAAGAGGCTTGAGCATCTGCAGATTGTGCTATCTGAGTGGAGATCCTGAAACCAATCACCCACGAATAGTGAGGGATGACTGTATATAATTTTTATTTCTCAATTTTAAATATAAAACATAAAAAAATTACAATAACAAGATAAAATAAACAAGTGTTTTATAGTGTGAGAATACGTTTAGATATATTTTTCTCTATGTGTAACCCTTGGGCCCATGTTATTTATTGAGAAGACATTCTATTCCACCTTAAACCACATGGCAGCCTTTGTCAACTATAAAGGGACTGTGTGTACACGGATGTATTTTAGACACTGTTTTCTGCTCAGTGGCTCTCTCTCTGTCCACTCTCTTGAGAATGCTGCATTTTATGCAGCCTTATACAACCCCTAAAATTTGGTAGCTGGAGTCCTCTAGTTATTTATTATAGGCTATTTGCTATGCTTTTTTTATTTTTCTTGAGGCAGAGTCTCGCTCTGTTGCCCAGGCTGGAGTGCAGTGGCACGATCTCGGCTCACTGCAACTTCCGCCTCCCAGGTTCAAGGGATTCCGTGCCTCAGCCTCTTGAATAGCTGGCATTACAAGTGCCTGCTACCAGGCATGGCTAATTTTTGTATTTTTAGCAGAGACATGGTTTCACTATATTGGCCAGGCTGGTCTCAAACTCCTGACCTCGGTTGATCACTCACTTCGGCTTCCAAAGTGCTGGGGAAATTGATTTTCTATAGCATTATGTTACTGGATATTTCTGTAAAATTTAAAATGAGGGAGGCAGAGAGACAGAGAGAGAGCAAACCATGAGTTGGAACTCTGGAATCTTGGGACATGAGACAAATTCTAGATAAATCTACAAAAATCCAGAATTTACATGTTGTGATTTTTGCTGATAAAGTACAATTCTAAGATTGTAAATAATTGCATAATCCTTCCCTGGGAGTTTAAATCATTTGAACTGGTTCTGCTGTAATACTAGAAATACAATCATGAAAAATTCTAATGGTTTATTAGTCACAATTGCTCTGAAAACCTTAATAATACCTATTAGATATTTTGCATATTACACAGGAAGAAGAGTTTGAATCTCAGATAAAAGCAATAAAAATACATGAAAAGTCTTTCATGTTAGCACAGATTTTAGGCATCTCGTGTTCGGGAGGTTGGATCTAAGACGTGTTTTGAGTTGGTCATAGTGAAGGACGCGAGGTGTCAATTCTAGTGAGAGCAATTTCCAGGAAGCCATGTTCCGCTCTTGAGCGAGCACCCACTGGGCCTCATGCAAGGTAGAAAGAGCCTGCGTACGTCACCCTCCCATGATGTGGTCAACATGTAAACTGCATGGGCAGGGCGCCAAATAACATCCTGTGCGCTGCTGAGCTGAGCTGGGGCGCGGCCGCCTGTCTGCACCGGCAGCACCATGTTGCTCATGGTCGTCAGCATGGCGTGTGTTGGTGAGTCCTGGAAGGGAATCGAGGGAGGGAGTGCGGGGATGGAGATCTGGACCTGGAGGTAAAGATATGGGCCTAGAGGTGGAGTTATGGGCCTGGAGGTGGAGTTATGGGCCTGAAGTGGAGATCTGGGCCTGGAGTGGAGATCTGGGCCTGGAGTGGAGATAGGGGCCTGGGGTGGAGATATGTGCCTGGAGTGGAGATCTGGGCCTGGAGTGGAGATATGGGCCTGGGGTGGAGATATGTGCCTGGGGTGGAGATATGGGCCTGGAGGGGAGATATGGATGGGCCTGGAGGGGAGATGTGGGCCTAGAGGTGGAGTGATGGGCCTAGAAGTGGAGCGATGGGCCTGGAGTGGAGATATGGGCCTGGAGGTGGAGTTATGGGCCTGCAGTAGAGATATGGGCCTGAAGTGGAGATATGGGCCTGGAGTGGAGATATGGGCCTAGAGGTGGAGTTATGGGCCCGGAGGTGGAGTTAAGGGCATGAAGTGGAGATCTGGGCCTGGAGTGGAGATATGATCCTGGAGTGGAGATATGGGCCTGGGGTGGAGATACGGGCCTGGAGCAGACATACAAGCCTGGAAAGGAGATATGGGCCTGGAGAGGAGATAGAAGCCTGGAGTGGAAATATGGGCCTGGAGTGGAGATATGAGCCTGGAGTGGATATATGAGCCTGGAGTTGAGATAGGAGCCTGGAGTGGAGATATGGGCCTGGAGTGGACTTATCAGCCTGGAGAGGAGATATGGGTCTGGAGTGGAGATACGGACCTGGAGTGGAGATCTGGGCCTGTTGTGTAGATCTAGGCCTGGAGGTAGAGATCTGGGCCTGGAGGCTGAGTCTCTGCACAGCCGAGATCCTTGTTCCTGGGGGCAGGTAGGCAGCGAGGGTGAGTTTACCTTCAGCCCAGCAAGGGCCTGGCTGCCAAGACGCACAGCCCAGTGGGGGCAGCAGGGTGCCCTGGTTTGCCTGCAGATGGATGGTCCATCATGATCTTTCTTTCTAGGGTTCTTCTTGGTCCAGAGGGCCGGTCCACACGTGGGTGAGTCCTTCCCCAAACCTTAGGGTGTCATCTCCCCACATAAGAGGATTTTCCTGAAATGGGAGGGAAGTCCTGTCGGGGAGTCTCTCATAAACTAGGAAGAGGGGACCCTCGGATGCTCGGCCCACATTTCTGACCTTGCCCTCCCCGGCCTTTCTTTCCCTTTCCTGAGTCAAGCTCTGTGAAGACTGGGGTGAGACTAGGGTGCTCCAAGATGGGTGTGCAGGGAGGAAGTGGTGTCAGCAGCAGAGAAAGAGAGGGAAGCAGTGCTAGGAACAGCAGGTCCTCTGAGGACAAAGGTGTAACTCACACCCTCCAGCGTTTCCGTGATGGTAGGGGCTGCAGTGTGGCTGTGGTCTTTCTACCAGAAAAGGTGAGGAAACCACAGCCATGGCCCTGACATTCCAAATCCTCTGATGGGGGCTCAGTTCATCAATTGGCTGATATTCCATTCACATAGGACTTGCCCTCCATGCCGTGTCTACTTTGTGTTGTTTTATATGAGTAATTTTGCAGTATTAAAATCTAGTAAGAGTTGCTTCTCCAGCACTTGCTCAAAGTTCTCAGCTGACACTTGTTGTAGGGAGACGCCATGTCTATGCAGGATGGGTCCTTCCTGTAGCCCTGGGCACCCAGGTGTGGTAGGAGCCTTAGAAAGTGGAAATGGGGAGAATCTTCTGGGCACTGGGAGTGAGGGGCGGCTCCACATCCTCCTCTCTAAGGCAGTGCCTCCTTCTCCCCCAGGTGGTCAGGACAAGCCCTTCCTGTCTGCCTGGCCCAGCGCTGTGGTGCCTCGAGGAGGACACGTGACTCTTCGGTGTCACTATCATCATAGGTTTAACAATTTCATGCTATACAAAGAAGACAGAATCCACGTTCCCATCTTCCATGGCAGATTATTCCAGGAGAGCTTCAACATGAGCCCTGTGACCACAGCACATGCAGGGAACTACACATGTCGGGGTTCACACCCACACTCCCCCACTGGGTGGTCGGCACCCAGCAACCCCGTGGTGATCATGGTCACAGGTCAGAGGCTTTCCGTCTGGGCTTCTCACTGTCCCACCTCCTGAATCCCAGAGCTTCTGGTGGGGGTGTCCGTCAGGGTCCCATCACCCAGGCCCTGACTGTATTTGGGGTCAAGGGAGATTGAATACAGGGGAAATGGGTGCTGTGGTGGGAAGAATCACTGTCCCCAATGATGGCTACATTGTAATCCCTGGAGCCTGTGACTATTTATGTTACAGGGCAGGGGACTGAAGGGGAAGGTGGAGCTCAGGTTGTTGATGAGTTGACCTTGAGATGGGGAGACAGCCTGGACTGTCCCACTGGGCTCAGTGTAATCACAAGGGTCCACATGAGAGGTGGAGGAAGAGGGGAGTGGGGATTAGAGCAGTGTAGTGGGAGGGAGACGCTATCAGCCACTGCGGGCTTTGAAGGTGGAGGAAGACCACTAGTCACAGAATGCAGGTGGCCTCTAAGGGCTGGAGAAGTCAAGAGAACTGATTCGCTGACTCTCCAGAGGGAACGCAGCCCTGTAGACACCTTGATTTCAGCACAGGGAGAACTGGATCCAATTTCTGTCTCCAGAAGTGGAAGGGGTCAGTGTGTTCTCTCCCGCTGCCATGTTTGTGGTAATTTTCTGCAGCAGCAACAGGAAACCAACACAGGAACCCAGGTCAAGGACAAGTTAGGAAACCAAACAAGGATAGCCAGATGTGGTGGTGGGCGCGAGTAATCCAACGACTGGGGAGGCTGAGGCAAGAGAATCACTTGAACTGGGGATTTGTTCAAAAGAGATTGATTCAGGCTGCTAAGAGCCTGGACATGCAGCCTGTCCTCTTCCACCCCCACATAGACAGCAGGAAAGAGATTAGTGGGAAACAGATACAACAGCCCAAGAGATGAGGCTGTCTTCACAGTGGCAAGGGAGTCAGGGGCTACTGGAGACAGAGGGACAGAGAAGAGGGAGGAAGACAGATGGAGGCACCTGCACCAGGGGATATGGGCACAGAAAAGACACGGAGATGCAGAGAGGGAGGAGAGAGACAGACACGGGGAGGGGAACCCTCACTCATTCCAGGTGCCATGGATGGGATGATAAAGAGAGATGCCTTCTAAACTCACAACTTCTCTTTCTAGGAAACCACAGAAAACCTTCCCTCCTGGCCCACCCAGGTCCCCTGGTGAAATCAGGAGAGAGAGTCATCCTGCAATGTTGGTCAGATATCATGTTTGAGCACTTCTTTCTGCACAAAGAGGGGATCTCTAAGGACCCCTCACGCCTCGTTGGACAGATCCATGATGGGGTCTCCAAGGCCAATTTCTCCATCGGTCCCATGATGCTTGCCCTTGCAGGGACCTACAGATGCTACGGTTCTGTTACTCACACCCCCTATCAGTTGTCAGCTCCCAGTGATCCCCTGGACATCGTGGTCACAGGTGAGAGTGTCTAGACATTGTTCTCATTGTCACTGGGACACAGAGTGAATGATCCAGGACTTGGAACCCCCAGGTGGTCATGAGGAAGATAAGTGTGGGATTCTTATGGAAAGAGAGTGACTTGGTGAGGTCTGTACCAACAGAGACAGAGAAACAGGAGACATAAGTACAGAACAGGTGTCATAACAGAGGACAGACACAGGGGCCATACAGGGAGGTAGAAAAGAGAGAAAGAGGTAAAGGAGACACTCAGACAGACAGACATGTCCCAGAGAGAGGTGTCCTTCCATGCTGACTTTGCTCAGAGACCTGGCACAGGTTAGAAGTTTCATTTCTGTTTTACCTCCACAAAGTGTTCCTACCAGAAGAACCCAAGGACACCCATATTTCTGACCTGAGTTGGGCCCTGTGGCCTCAGGCCTTGTGCCACCTACAGATGCCGTGTTTATTCTGACACCTCTGCCTTCCAGGCAATGGAGAGTAATCATCCCAGGATATCATGGCCCCTGAACACCAACCCCTGTATGCTGTGTGAACTTGGGGTCCCCAGACTGGATTCTGAGGCTCATATTCCAAATAATCCCACATATGATAGGATCGCTGAGAGACACAGAGAAAAATCAGGGACACCAAAAAGCAAAGACATAAACACACACAAAATGAGCCAGAAGAAGGAGATTAAGAGATTCACAGACACATAAAAAGAAAGAAAAGAGGGCAGAATGGAGAGAATGATGGAAAGGAGGAGAGAAAAGCCCCAAAATCAGAACCCTGAGGGAGGGACACAAAGACAGAGAAAGATAAATATGTGGGGATGGATTGCAGAGATTCCAAATAGAACTAGAGAGACTGAGAGGCAGAGAAAGACAAGGAGACGGAGAGAGAGAGATGATAGATGGATAGATAGACGTAGATAGATGATAAATAGGTAGATGATAGATAATGGATTGGTTATAGATACATAGATGATGACTGATAGATGATACATAGAGATGACGATGATGATGATAGACACATAGATATATACATAGATGATACATAAATAGAGACAGAGAGGCAGACAGAGAGGTAATAGAGAGAGAGATAGATGATACATATATAGATAATAGATGATTGATGGATAGATAGACAGACAGACAATTGATAGAGAGATAGATAAGTGATACATAAATATAGATGATAGATAATTTGTAGATAGACACAAAATAGATAAATAGATAGAAATGTGCAGAAAGTTATGAACAAGACAGAAAGTGAGAGACTCAAAATTAAAGAAAAAGGAAGATCAAGTCAACCAATCCAAGGAGGATCAGAGGGAATAAAACAATCCAAAAAGGGAAAACATACCTCAGGGTGGGGAAGTGAGGTCATAGACCTAGAGAGACAGAAAAGGTAGAAGGAGGAAACAGATATGAAGAGAGATGGGGTGGAGGGTGAGAGAGAGAGAGAGAGCATTAGGTCATAGAGCAGGGGAGTGAGTTCTCAGCTCAGGTATGAGGGGAGCTATGACAAGGAAGAACCTCCCTGAGGAAACTGCCTCTTCTCCTTCCAGGTCCATATGAGAAACCTTCTCTCTCAGCCCAGCCGGGCCCCAAGGTTCAGGCAGGAGAGAGCGTGACCTTGTCCTGTAGCTCCCGGAGCTCCTATGACATGTACCATCTATCCAGGGAGGGGGGAGCCCATGAACGTAGGCTCCCTGCAGTGCGCAAGGTCAACAGAACATTCCAGGCAGATTTCCCTCTGGGCCCTGCCACCCACGGAGGGACCTACAGATGCTTCGGCTCTTTCCGTCACTCTCCCTACGAGTGGTCAGACCCGAGTGACCCACTGCTTGTTTCTGTCACAGGTGAGAAAAGCCCATATCTCTCTCATGTCCTATGATCCTAAATCCTTAGCTAAGGAGCTTCCTGCTGATGATGGAGAAAAGCATGGACAGATGCAGAGAGAAGACACAGCAGGTGTGAGGGCGGAGTCAGGGCGCAGGATGGCAGACAGGGCACCTCCAAACCCTCCTTCATGGCCTGCATGGAGGCCTCCGATCAGGGCTCCAGGCACCCAGGCAGATGGAGAAAGCGGTCAGGACAGACCCAGAGAAGGGGAGACTGGGCTTAGTTTGGGGAGATCAGAGGTTCCCTCAGCCCCTCAATCTTATCCATTTCCCAGAAGCCCATCATGGCCTCTCACCCACACAGAGAGATATCATCACCAGCAACCCCTACACCCTTTTCTTTTCATTTTCAAAAATATTTATTGAGGTTAAATGTAACTATATAATTTACCACCTTTACCATTTTTAAAAGTAAAATCTAGTGGTCATAAATACCTTTATATGCTGGGTGTGGTGGTTCACGGTTGTAATCTCGGCGCTTTGAGAGGCCAAGGAAGGTGGATCATTTAAGATCAGGAACTCGAGATCACCCTGGCCAACATGTGGGAAATTCATCTTTACTAAACAGACAAGAAAAATTAGCCGAGCATGCTGGCATGCACCTGTAGTCCTAGCTACTTGGGAGGCTGAGGCAGGAGAAGCACTTAAACCCAGGAGGCAGAGGTTGCACTGAGCCGAGATCATGCCACTGCACTGCAGCCTGGGAGACAGAGAGAGACTCTGTTTCTAAATAAATAAATACATCTATATTCTTTTTTTTGTTACCCTCCACCCTTCCCTTCCTGGCCTCTGGTGTCCACCATTGTATTCTCCACCTTCATGAGATCCACCTTTTATCTCCTGCATGTGGGTGAGAAATGGGAATCTTTGTAATGACCTCCAGTTCCATCCATGTGGCTGCAAATGACAGGATGTTATTGTTTCTATGGATGAGTAGTCTCCACTGTGTGTGTGTACCACAGTTCTCTATCCATTCACCCACTGATGGGCAGGTAGGTTGACTCCACATCTTGGCTACTGTGAACAGTGCTGGAACAGTCATATGAGTGCAGATATCACTTCGATACACTGATGTCCTTTCCTTTGGATATAAACCCAGTAGTGAAATTGCTGGACACTATGAAAGTTCTCTTTTTTTTTTTTTCTTTTTTGAGAAAGAGTTTCCCTCCTTAGTCCAAGCTGGAGTCTAAGTGGTGAGATCTTGGCTCATTGCAACCTGTGCCTCCTAGGTTCAAATGATTGTCCTGACTCAGCCTCCCTAGTAGCTGTGATTACAGGTGCACGCCACCATGCCTGGCTAATTTTTGTATTTTTTTAGCACAGACGGGATATCCCAATTTTGGGCAGGCTGCTCTCAAACTCCTGACCTCAAGTGAGGTGCCTGCCTCGGTTTCCCAAAGTGCTGAAGTTACAGGCATAAGCCACTATGCCCAGCCTCCTTTTAGTTTTTTAAAGAATTTCCATACTTTTCTCCATAATAGTTGTACTAATTTACATTCCTACCAACAGGGTACCAGGGTTCTCCTTTCTCTACCATCTTGCCAGCATTTGTTTTGCCTGTCTTGCAGTAAAAGCCATTTTACTTCACTTTATTTTATTTATTTATTTATGTTGAGATGGAGTTTCACTCATAGTCTCCCAGGCTGGAGTGCAAGGGTGTGATCTCAGCTCACTGCAACCTCCGCCTCCCGCGTTCAACTGATTCTCCTGCCTCAGCCTCCAAAGTAGCTGGGATTACAGGCATGTGCCACCACGCCTAGCTAATTTTTGTATGTTTAGTAGAGAGGGAGTTTCTCCATGATGGTCAGGCTGGTCTCCCGACCTCAGGTGATCCGCCCACCTCCGCCTCCTGAAGTGCCGGAATTACAGGCGTGAGCCACCGGCCTAAAAGGCATTTTAATGGGATGAGATGAAAACTCATCGCGATTGTAATTTACATTTCTCTGATGATGAGTGATGCCGAGTACTTTTTCATATACGTGATCGCCATTTCTATGTTTTGTTTGTGGAGAAATGTCTCCTCATGTCTTTTGCTCGTTTTTTAATTAAATTGTTTTATTGAGTTGTTTGAGCTTCTTATATTTCCAGTTATTAATCCCGTCTCAGATGAATAGTTTGCAAATATTTGCTCCTATTTTGTCGGTTGTCTCTTCACTTTCTTGGTTTATCTTTTGTGGTGCAGAAGTTGCTTGGTTTGATGTAATCCTAATGGTCTATTTTTTGCTTTGATTACTTGTGTTTTGAAGGTTTTAAACAAAATGTCTTTCGTCAGACAAATGTCTTCCCCATTATTTTCTTCTACATGTTTCATAGGTTCAGGCCTTAGACTCATGTTTTTAATCCATTTTCATTTGATTTTTGTGTATGGTGACAGGTATAGATGCAGTTTTATTCCTCTGCATGTAGATATCCAGTTTTCCCCACACCATTTATTGAAAAGACTGTCCTTTCCTGATTGTAAGTTCTCGGCACCTTTGTCAAAGTCCATTAAATGGGCTGGGTATGGTGGCTCACACCTGCAATTCCAGCACTTTGGGAGGCCGAGGCGGGTGGATCACCTGAAGCCAGGAGTTCAAGACCAGGCTGGCCAACAGAGTGAAACCTCGTCTCTACTAAAAATACAAAAATTAGCTGAGCATGGTGACCAGTGCCTGTAATACCACTACTCGGGTGTTTGAGGCAAGAGAATTGCTTGAATCCAGGAAGTGGAGGTTGCATTGAGCTGAGATTGCACCTCTGCACTCCAGCCTGCATGACAGAGCAAGATTCTATCACACACACACACAAAAAAAGCCATTGGATGTAAATGCATGGATTATATCTGTGTTCTCCATTCTGTTTCATTTTTTATGTGCCTTTCTTTATGCCAATGTCATGCTGTTTTGCTTACTACAGCTCTGTAACATATTTCTAAGTCAGGTAGTGTGATGCTCCTGTTTTCTCTTTATACCTTCAAGTCTCAAGACAGTGGGCATCGCACACAAAAATTATGGAGAAGAGGATCCCAAGACTCCCAGGGTCCAACATTAGATAACAGAGTGTTGGCCATGAACCAACCTCAAAGATTTCCATTGAGTAGAGGACAAGCACCCTCATTTCCTCACATCTCTCCTGTCCCATGTTCTAGGAAACCCTTCAAGTAGTTGGCCTTCACCCACAGAACCAAGCTCCAAATCTGGTGAGTAAAGGACCCCTCTTATCTCTGCTTTTGGAAACCTGGGGAGGTGGAAGCCTTGGATGCAAGTGTTGGCTCAAACCTCCCAGCTCTGTGAATGAGGGCCTGTCTTCCACCATCTCTGAACTCCAGACACTCCAACAGTGAAAGGGATCTAGGGCCACCAAAGGGCTCAGCGAAGTCTCTTAACCTTTAATGTCCTGCAGGTGAGACCTCCTACAAGCTAGAAGAATGATTGCCAATCTGACATCCTTCTCAGGAAACATGCAGTGTTTTTTCTTCCTGCATTCCTAACTGGAGGATAAATTCCTGGGGACTTGAGAGAGGGAAGGGAAGGGAACATCTGATGAGGGCGAGGTGTTTTAGAGAAGTTCCACTTGCCAAGGAATGAATTACTGTTGGTCATGAAGCAACCCTGGCTGACTCAGCAGAGCAAGAGCCTTGCCGTAACAGAGAACAGAGCTCATGCACGCACACTTCGACTCACTGACTCATTCAGCCACGGCCCCATGCTCAGGCTGTGCAGTTGGAATCCTTTCCTATTGTTGCCATAACAAATTTCCACAAGATTCGTGGGTGAAAACAAAACGGTTTTTTAATTATCTTACAGTGCTGTAGCTCAAAGTAGGAAGTGCATCTTACTGGGCTAAAATCAAGGTGACAGCAAGGCTGCCTTCCCTCTGAGGATTCCAGGCAAGAATCTGCTTCTCACTTGTCCCAGCTTCTAAAGGCTCCCAGTTCCTTGGCTCCTGGTCCCCTTCCTCCTTCCTCAAAGCCCACAAAGACTGGTCACATCTCACATGGCATCACTCAGACCCTTCTTCCTTACCACACCTCTTTCTCTGAATGCTGCTCTCCCTTCTTCCTTATCTTTTGAAAACTTGGGGATTCTATTGGGTTCACCAAGATGAAAATCCATCATAATCTCCCGGAAATCATTCAGGATACCCTTGTTTTAAGTTCAGCTGACTAGCAACCGTAATTCCATCTGCAATCTTCATTCCTTCTTTCCATGTAAAATAAGATATTCACAAGCTATGGAGGCCAGGACAGGGACATTTTGGGGTGGGACAGCATTCTCCTGCCTTCCACGAACGGTGAACAAGATGCATTTGGCCTCTGCTCTTGGGACACTGATATTGCAGATGGTTAAATGGGAGGACAGAAAATGAATGCACAAGTGGACCAATAAATGAATGATCCATTGGGAAGCATCTGTGCATGAAATCTATTTGTTTGTTCGTTCATTTATTTATTGAGACAGAGTCTCCCTCTGTCTTCCAGGCTACAGTGCAGTGTCACGATCTTGGCTCACTGCAACCTGCGTCTCCTGGATCCAAGTGATTCTCCTGCCTCACCCTCTCGAGTAGCTGGGATTACAGGCAACTGCCACCATGCCCGGCTAATTCTTTTTGTATATTTTTTGTAGAGAGGATGTTTCACCATGTTGGCCAAGCTTGTCTGAAACTCCCAACCTCAAGTGATCCGACCATCTCAGCAACCCAAAGTACTGGGATTACAGGCGTGAGCCACTTTGCCCAGCCAGAATTCAAAATAAATAATAGATAATGCTGAGTGTATAATTTTGGGTGACAGAGAAGGTCTCACTAATCAGATATTTGTGACATTAATGAAAAACACGGATTGAACCCCTGAAAGATTGGCGGAAGGATTTTCCACACACAGCTGTCAGCCGTGAAGGCAGAAAGCTGAAAACAATCTGATGTGGAAGGAAGAGGCTCTGCCTGAAATGCTGGGAATGAGGTGGGGAGAATGACAAGACGACTGTGGAGAGACGGAGAGCACACTGGGTACACAGGAAACTAAGGAGCAACAAGGAGTGTGTGTTTGACACTCACAGCCATTGGATTCACCTCGGGGTAGCCAGGAATCCCTACATGATTAATAGTGACTGACATGAAAATAAGGGAGGCCCAGGTGCGTAACTGGAATCTAGGAGACAGTGGAAAAGGCAATTGCCGCCCCACTGGTGAAATGTGGTGCTGATTTAGACCCTAAGTGGATGAAGCAGATGGATATAAGCTATGTTTGGGAGGTAGAATCATTTGCAGGGAGGGCTTGCTGGGTTTGAGTTTCCTAGTTGTTTAATCCTTGCTAAATTAATTTCTTTCTGAGATTTATTCCTCCTACACATAAATCAATACCTGGCAAAGGAGTGACAGATATATGAGGGGTGGTGGAAATGAAGGGACCTATTATAGCATAGTATACAAGTCTGTGAACGGTGGCTCACTCCTGTAACCCAGCACTGCAGGAGGCTAAGGCCAGTGGATTCCAAGAAGTCAGGAGTTCGAGACCAGCCTGGCCAACATGGAGAAACCCTATCTCTACATGGTGAAACCCTATCTCTCCTAAAAATACAAAAATTAGCCGAGCATGGTGGTGCATCCCTGTAATCCCAGCTCCTGCTCTGGAGGATGAAGCAGGAGAATGACTTCAACCCAGGAGGTGGAGGTTGCAGTGAGTGGAGATCGCATCACTGCACTCCAGCCTGGGTGACACAAGGAGACTCCATCTCAAAAAATAAAAATAAGAAATGCATAAATATAATAAAACACACACGAATGACAAAGGCACCTGAATTCCCATCATCATTTTTCTATTTCTCTATAATTACTTCTTTGATCCTTTATCTTATCCATTAGGCAATCAGCCTAAAACCTCTTCCGTATTTGGCTTTCTGTGAGCATGAGATCATATAGAAAATGTGAAAGCCCGCTGAATCCTCCAGCACAAATCCTGGAATAGAGAAAGTGCTCTGGTCATCACAAAAAAAACTTGCCCCCTCACCCAAATCCCCCATCTCACCCCTACTTCCAATCACCTGTGGAGATACAGATAGATCATGGGGAGGTAAATGCTAATACTCCTTGGAGTGAGTCCAGATCTTGGAATCAGAGATCAGTGCCAGCACTAGCTCCTGCTCCCCTTTCCTACTAATTCACAGGAGGACAGGTGGTATTGAAGCAATAGATAGTCGAGGGGGTGGTCCTTCCCCCAGCCTCTGAGGTAGAACAGCAGCCTAACATGTGTCTCCCGAGATCACAAAGAGTAGCACATTTCACACGGGCTTCAACACTATTTTCTGGCTGTTTGACATAAGAGAATTCTACTTCGCTTTTTTTATATTGATTTCACTTTTGTTTCCTTTTCTTGGAGAATGCAAGTTGTTTAACTCAAGAATGCCGTGGATGTAGAAATCCTAAAGCACATTCGCTGTGTATCAATCCCAGTCCAGTCTTCCCAGAGAAGACTCTAAACACCTCCTGGACTGCACCTGGGCCTATGCCAATTCCTATCACTCACCGTCACTCCAGGGAGACAGAACACACAGAGAATACGTTACATAGGCAGGTTCATTACTAACAGATAAGCAGCGAGTGACAACAGAAGCCTACATTTCAATGTGAGCCAGTTCCCCAAGGCTCAGAAAAGCTGCTCGAGACATGTGGAGTCACCCCATTTGCAGTGTAGCTGGGGGAAGCCAGAAAGCAGCCCAGCCTGGGTTTTGTACCCTGGAGCCACAGGAAGCACTCAGCTAAAGCACTGCATGACGTCCTCCTCCAGGAAGAACAGGAAGACAGCCCAGGCTGTTCTGGGACGATCCTCCTGATCTCAGGACTTTGCTGTCTTAGTCCATTTTTGTTGCTCTAAAGGAACACTTGAGCCTGGGTAACTTCTAAAGAAGAGATTGGTTTGCCTCACCGTTCTGCAGGCTGTACTGGAAGCATGGCACCAGCATCTATTTCTTATGATGGCCTCAGGCCGCTCCCACTCTGGCAGAAGGGAAGGAGGGTCTGTCTGTGCAGAGACCACAGAGATCACACGGCAAGAGAGGGAGCAAGGGGGAGGGGGAGCAATGGAGCTTCCAAGCTCTTTTTAACAACCAGCTCTCCAGGAACTAATAGAGAGGGAACTTGCTAACCCCGTCTCCTTGGGACAGCATTGATCTGTTCATGATGGATCCACCTCCATGACCCAAACACCTCCCAAGAGGCCCAACCTCCCACACTGGGGGTTAAATTTCAATGTGAGGTTTGAAGGGGTCAAACATCTCAACTAAAGTAGTTGTATCCTCAGCACGTTCCATGGTTACTATGAGAGCTATAACTGAGAAAGCAGGAGGAAGCTAGATCTCCCGCCATCTGGGTGCTTGTCCGAAAGAGATGCTGTAAGTGGTTACCTGTCAATCAAGAAATGCAAGACAATTCATATAGAGAAACTGCTATGATTAGCTTCTTACTGGTGTCTCCTCTTCTTCCAGGTAACCCCAGACACCTGCACATTCTGATTGGGACCTCAGTGGTCATCATCCTCTTCATCCTCCTCCTCTTCTTTCTCCTTCATCTCTGGTGCTCCAACAAAAAAAGTAAGTCTCACGGGGCACAGGCCAGAGAGCTCAGGGCCATGTGGGGAAGCAGGATGGGAGCACACAGCTGTGTGTTCCTCACTGGCAGGATGGTCCCTGGCCCAAGACAGGAGCCACAGAGGCAGGACTTTCTAGAGAGAGCACCAGACTCCCTGCCCCTGCCTTCAGCTCACAGACCGTTGCCTGATTCTGAACTGTATCCTCATGTCCCCTGCAGCCACTCACATCCAGGAGAAGGTTCCATGACAGGCAGAAAGTGGGAGACAGAATCAATGGGATGGGAACTCAGAGCTATTCATGGGATGGGTCCTTGAGCTCAGAGAGATAGAATGTCTGAGTCTGCTGTTGGCAACTGAGGGACCTCAGGCACCTATGGCCTCCCCCTGTTTGTTGGTATCTGCTTATGAAATGAGGACCCAGAAGTGCCCTCCGAGCTCTTTTGTTGACTTCCGTCTCCTACAGATGCTGCTGTAATGGACCAAGAGCCTGCAGGGAACAGAACAGCCAACAGCGAGGTAGGTGCTCCTCGGCCCAGCCTCGTGGCTAGTGTTATTCCCAAACAGTCCTGGAAAACGTGAGCACCCTCCCTCACTCAGCATTTCCCTCCCTCACTCAGCATTTCCCTCTCTCCAGGACTCTGATGAACAAGACCCTGAGGAGGTGACATACGCACAGTTGGATCACTGCGTTTTCACACAGAGAAAAATCACTCGCCCTTCTCAGAGGCCCAAGACACCCCCTACAGATACCATCTTGTACACGGAACTTCCAAATGCTAAGCCCAGATCCAAAGTTGTCTCCTGCCCATGAGCACCACAGTCAGGCCTTGAGGACGTCTTCTAGGGAGACAACAGCCCTGTCTCAAAACCGAGTTGCCAGCTCCCATGTACCAGCAGCTGGAATCTGAAGGCGTGAGTCTTCATCTTAGGGCATCGCTCCTCCTCACGCCACAAATCTGGTGCCTCTCTCTTGCTTACAAATGTCTAGGTCCCCACTGCCTGCTGGAAAGAAAACACACTCCTTTGCTTAGCCCACAGTTCTCCATTTCACTTGACCCCTGCCCACCTCTCCAACCTAACTGGCTTACTTCCTAGTCTACTTGAGGCTGCAATCACACTGAGGAACTCACAATTCCAAACATACAAGAGGCTCCCTCTTGACGTGGCACTTACCCACGTGCTGTTCCACCTTCCCTCATGCTGTTTCACCTTTCTTCGGACTATTTTCCAGCCTTCTGTCAGCAGTGAAACTTATAAAATTTTTTGTGATTTCAATGTAGCTGTCTCCTCTTCAAATAAACATGTCTGCCCTCATTGCTTCAGGTAATGTGACACTGTATTCGCTGAAAGAAACCGCTGTTATCATTACCATGTCCACATAACCCCATCTGTTCTCCGCTGGGTTCTCACCCCTGGACTCTGAGCTTCTGGAAGCAGGGTGGAGCCTCATTTGTCTCTGGGACTCCAATTTCCATCCAAAGATGCAGCACATAGGAGGTTCCAAGGATCGTGAATCACATGAACAAGTGATATTCTTACTCTCTGCAACCTGGAAAGCTGGCAGAGTCATTCCACGATGAAACATTTGTAGAGTCATAAGCCTTGCTAGTCTCATCTCCACGGGGACACATATCAACACATCATATTTCATACTATAAATATACAGTCGCTCCTCCATATCTGTGGGGTTTACAGGTGTTTATTGAACCAAGTGTAAATCAAAAATATTCAGAGAAAATGTCCACAAAGTTTCAAAATGCAAAACTATGTTGAATGGACACAAATGAGGCAGTGTGTAGGCTGTATCAGGAATTATAAGTAATCAAGAGATGATTTCATGTATACAGGAGGATGTGCATGGGTTATATCCAAATGCTGTGTCATTTTATGTAAGAGGCTTGAGCATCTGCAGATTTTGGTACCTGAGTGGAGATCCTGAAACCAATCACCCACGAATAGTAAAGGATGACCGTATATGACTTTTATTTCTCAATTTTAAATATAAATCATAAAAAATGTACAATAACTAGATAAAAAGTAAGAAGTGTTTTTATAGTGTGAGAATAAGTTTAGATTTATTTTTTCCTACGTGTAACCCTTTGGTTTAATATTATTTATTAAGAAGACATTCTATGCCACCTTAAACCACACGGCAGCCTTTGTCAACTCTAAAGGGACTGTGTGTACACGGATGTATTTTAGACACTGTTTCTGCTAAGGGGCTCTCTGTGTCCACACTCTTGAGGATGCTGCACTTCATGTAGCCTTATAAAACCCTTTAAATTTAGTAGCCAGAGCCCTCTAATTTGTTATTATAGGCTACTTGCTATTTTTTTTTCTTGAGGCGGAGTCTTGCTCTGTCGCCCAGGCGGGACTGTAGTGGAGCAATCTCAGCTCACTGCAACTTCCGCCTCCCAGGTTCAGGCGATTCTCGTGCCTCAGTCTCTTGAGTAGCTGGCGTTTCAGGTGCCTGCCACCAGGCATGGCTAATTTTTGAATTTTTAGCAGAGACGCGGTTTCACTGTGTTGGCCAGGCTGCTCTCAATCTCCTCATCTCAGTTGATCCGCCCACCTCGGCTTCCCGACCTGCTGGGGGAAACTTGATTTTCTATAGCATTATGTTACTGGATATTTCTGTAAAATTTAAAATGAGGGAGGCAGAGAGACAGAGAGAGAGCAAACTCCAAAGTTGGGACTCTGGAATCTTGAGTCATGAGACAAATTATAGATAAAACTACAAAAATCCAGAATTTACATGTGTGGTTTTTGCTGATAAAGTACAATTCTAAGATTGTAAATAATTGCATAATCCTTCCCTGGGAATTTAAATCATTTGAACTGGTTCTGCTGTAATACTAGAAATACAAGCATGAACAATTCTAATGGTTTATTAGTCACAATGACTCTGAAAACACTAATAATACCTATTAGATATTTTGCATATTACACAGGAAGAAGAGTTCGAATCTCAGATAAAAACAATAAAAATTCATGAAAAGTCTTTCATGTTAGCACAGATTTTAGGCATCTCATGTTTGGGAGGTTGGATCTAAGACATGTTTTGAGTTGGTCATAGTGAAGGACGCGAGGTGTCAATTCTAGTGAGAGCAATTTCCAGGAAGCCATGTTCTGCTCTTGAGCGAGCACCCACTGGGCCTCATGCAAGGTAGAAAAAGCCTGCGTACGTCACCCTCCCATGATGTGGTCAACATGTAAACTGCATGGGCAGGGCGCCAAATAACATCCTGTGCGCTGCTGAGCTGAGCTGGGGCGCGGCCGCCTGTCTGCACCGGCAGCACCATGTCGCTCATGGTCATCATCATGGCGTGTGTTGGTGAGTCCTGGAAGGGAATAGAGGGAGGGAGCGTGGGGATGGAGATCTGGGCCCAGAGGTGGAGATATGGGCCTGGAGGTGGAGTTATGGGCCTGGAGTGGAGATCTGGGCCTAGAGATGGAGTGATGAGCCTAGAAGTGGAGATCTGCGCCTGGAGTGGAGATCTGGGCCTGGAGTGAAGATCTGGGCCTGGAGTGGAGATATGGGCCTGGAGTGGGGATAGGAACCTGGAGTGGAGAGAGGAACCTGGAGGAGAGATAGGAACCTGGAGGGGAGGTAGGAGCCTAGGGTGGAGATATGGGACTGGAGTGGAGATATGGGACTGGAGTGGAGATATGGGCCTGGAGTGGAGTTATGGGCCTGGAGTGAAGTTATGGGCCTGGAGGTGGAGATACGGGCCTGGAGTGGAGATATGAGCCTGGAGTGGAGATATGGTCCTGGAGTGGAGATATGGGCCTGGAGTGGAGATATGGGTCTGCAGTGGAGTTATGGGCCTGGAGTGAAGTTCTGGGCCTGGAGGTGGAGATATGGGCCTGGAGTGGAGATATGGGACTAGAGTGGAGATAGGGGCCTGGAGGTGGAGATCTGGGCCTGGAGTGGAGATCTGGGCCTGGAGTGGAGATCTGGGCCTGGAGTGGAGATATGGGCCTGGAGTGGAGATATGGGTCTGCAGTGGAGATATGGGCCTGGAGGTGGAGATATGGGCCTGGAGTGGAGTTATGGGCCTGGAGTGAAGTTATGGGCCTGGAGGTGGAGATATGGGCCTGGAGTGGAGATATGGGACTAGAGTGGAGATAGGGGCCTGGAGGTGGAGATCTGGGCCTGGAGTGGAGATATGGCCCTGGAGTGGAGATATGGGCCTGGAGTGGAGATATGAGCCTGGAGTGGAGATATGGCCCTGGAGTGGAGATATGGGCCTGGAGGTGGAGATATGGGCCTGGAGTGGAGTTATGGGCCTGGAGTGAAGTTATGGGCCTGGAGGTGGAGATATGGGCCTGGAGTGGAGATATGGGACTAGAGTGGAGATACGGGCCTGGAGGTGGAGATCTGGGCCTGGAGTGGAGATATGGCCCTGGAGTGGAGATATGGGCCTGGAGTGGAGATATGAGCCTGGAGTGGAGATATGGCCCTGGAGTGGAGATATGGGCCTGGAGTGGAGATATGAGCCTGGAGTGGAGATATGGCCCTGGAGTGGAGATATGGGCCTGGAGTGGAGATATGGGCCTGGAGTGGACATATGGGTCTGGAGTGGAGATATGGGCCTGGAGGTGGAGATATGGGCCTGGAGTGGAGATATGGGCCTGGAGGTGGTGATATGGGCCTGGAGTGTAGACATGGGCCGAGTGGAGATATGGGTCTGGAGTGGAGATATGGGCCTGGAGTGGAGATATGGGACTGGAGTGGAGATATAGGCATGGGGTGGAGACATGGGCCGGGAGTGGAGATATGGGACTGGAGTGGAGATACGGGCGTGGGGTGGAGATATGTGCCTGGAGGTGGAGATATGGGCGTGGGTTGGAGATATGGGCCTGGAGTGGAGATATGGGCGTGGGGTGGAGATATGGGTCTGGAGTGGAGACATGGGCATGGGGTGGAGATATGGGCCTGGTGTGTAGATATGGGCCTGGAGTGGAGATATGGCCCTGGAGTGGAGATATGGGCCTGGAGTGGAGATCTGGGCCTACGGTGGAGATATGGGCCTAGGATGGGGATATGGGCCTGGAATGGAGATATGGGCCTGGGTGTGGAGATATGGGACTGGAGTGGAGATATGGGCCTGATGTGGAGATATGGGCTTGGAGTGGAGATATGATCCTGGAGTGTAGTTATGGGCCTGGAGGTGGAGATCTGGGCCTGGGGTGGAGATATGGGCCTGGAGTGGAGATATGGGACTGGAGAGGAGATATGGGACTGGAGTGGAGATATGGGCCTGGAGTGGAGATATGGGCCTGGATTGGAGATATGGGCCGAGGGTGGAGATCTGAGCCTGGATTGGAGATGTGGGCCTGGATTGGCTATATGGGTCTAGGGTGGAAATATCGGCCTGGAGTGGAGATATGGGCCTGGAGTGGAGATATGGGCTTGGGGTGGGGATATGGGCCTGGAGGCTGGGTCTCTGCACAGCCGAGAGCACTGTTCTTGGGTGCAGGTAGGCTCTGATGGTGAGTTTCCCTTCGGCCCAGGAAGGGGCTGGCTATCAAGACTCACAGCCCAGTGGGGGCAGCAAGGAAGGCCTTGTTTGCCTGCAAATGGATCTTCCATCATGATCTTTCTTTCCAGGGTTCTTCTTGCTGCAGGGGGCCTGGCCACAGGAGGGTAAGTCCTTCTCCAAACCTTAGGGTGTCATCTCCCCACATAAGAGGATTTTCCTGAAACGGGAGGGAAGTCCTGTCAGGGAGTCTCTCATAAACTAGGAAGAGGGGACCCTGGGGTGCTCGGCCCACAGTTCCGACCTTGCCTCCCTGGCCTCTCAACCCCTTGGCAGAGTCAAGTTGTGTGGGGACCAGGGTTGGACTAGGGTGTTCAAAGCTGGGTTGTGTGGTGGGGAAGTGGTAGGAACAGCAGATCCTCTGAGGACAAAGGTGTTACTCACACACTTCAGCGTTTCCATGACGGTAGGGGCTGCAGTGTGGCTGCTGTCATTCTACCAGAAGAGGTGGGAAACCACAGCCATGGCCCTGACATTCCAAATCCTCTGATGGGGGCTAAGTTTTTTATTTTCATTCAGGCAACTGCTGATATTCCATTCTCAAAGGACATGCCCTCCACTTCATGTCTACCCTGTGTTGTTTTATGTCAGTAATCTTACAGTATTAAAATCTAGTAGGAGTCTCTTACTCAGCACTTGCTCAAAGTTCTCAGCTGACACTTTTGTTGTACGGAGACACCTTGTCTTTGTGGGATGGGTCCTTCCTTTAGCCCTAGGCACCAAGGTGTGATAGCAGCCATAGAAATGTGGAAAGTGGGGAGAATCTTCTGAGCACAGGGAGGGAGGCACAGCTCCACATCCTCCTCTCTAAGGCGGCGCCTCCTTCACCCCCAGGTGGTCAGGACAAGCCCTTGCTTTCTACCTGGCCCAGCCTTGTGGTGCCTCCAGAACATGTGACTCTTCAGTGTCACTCTAATCTTGGGTTTAACAACTTCAGTCTGTACAAGGATGATGGGGTGCCTGTCCCTGAGCTGTACAACAGAATATTCTGGAAAAGCCTTTTCATGGGCCCTGTGACCCCGTCACATGCAGGGACCTATAGATGCCGGGGTTCACACACACACTCCCCCAGTGGGTGGTCGGCACCCAGCAACCCCCTGGTGATCATGGTCACAGGTCAGAGGGCTCCTGTCTGGGATTCTCCTTGTCCCACCTCCTGAATCCCAGAGCTTCTGGTAGGCATGTCCTTGAGGGTCCCATCACGCAGGCCCTAACTGTATTTGGGGTAAAGGGGGATTGAATACAGGGAAATGGGTGCTGTGGTGGGAAGAATAAGTGTCCCCAGTGATGACTGCATTCTAATCCCTGGAGTCTGTGACTATTTATGTTATAGGGGAAGGGACTGAAGGGGAAGATGGAGCTCAGGTTGTTGATGAGTTGACCTTGAGATGGGGAGACAGCCTGGACTGTCCCGGTGGGCTCAGTATAATCACAAGTGTCCACATGAAAGGAGGAGGAAGAGGAGAGTGGGGATTAGAGCAGCGTAGTGGGAGACTCCATCAGCTTTGAAGGTGGATGAAGGCCATAAGCCATGAATGCAGGTGGCCTATAGAGGCTGGGAAAGTCAAGTAACTGATTCTCCTGAGTCTCCAGAGGGAACACAGCCCTGCAGATGCCTTGATTTTAGCCCTCGAAAAACAGGGTCCGCTTTCTGTCTCCAGAATCGGAGGGGGTCAGTGTGCTCTCTCCTGCTGCCATGCTTCTGATAATTTTCTACAGCAGCAACAGGAAACCAACACTGGAACCCAGGTCAAGGACAAGTTAAGAAAAGACACAAGGATAGCCAGGCATGGTGGCAGGTGCATGTAATCCTAGCGACTCGGGAGGCTGAGAGCAGGAGAATCGCTTGAACCCAGGAGACAGAGGTTGCAGTGAGCGTAGACCACACCACTTCACTCCAGCCTGGGTGAAGGAGTGAGACTCTGTCTCCAAAATTAATTAATTAATTAAAGAAACCAAACAAAGAGAAGGTTGGCTACACCGAGATCAGCAAGGGTGGGATGATGATGCCACCACCAGGCTCCATCCACATAGGGAGGGGTTGATACTCCTCAAATCAGCACGAGGAGCCAGCCTATGGAAACTGGCACCATGGAGAAGGCACAGACATGGCAAGAGTGGCTCCCAGTCCCCACCAGGAACAGGGTGTGTGGACACTGGTGCCTGCCTTACTGATCAGTTCATACCTCCTGCCAAGGATTCCAATTCGTCCAAAAGAGATTGAACCAGGCTGCTAAGAGCCGGTACGTGCAGCCTATCCTGCTTCCTCTTCCACTCCCACATAGACAGTAAGAAAGACATTAGTGTGAAATAGATACAACAGCCCAAGAGATGAGGCTGAGCCCAGTGGGAAGGGAATCACAGCTACTAGAGACAGAGGGACAGAGAAGAGGGAGGGAGACAGATGGAAGGACCTGCACCAGGAGTTATGGGCACAGAAAAGAACATGAAGACACAGAGAGGAAGCAGAGAGACAGACACCAGCGAAGGGAAGGCTCACTCATTCCAGGTGCCATGGATGGGATGATAAAGAGAGACACCTTCTAAACTCACAACCTCTCTTCCTAGGAGTCCACAGAAAACCTTCCTTCCTGGCCCTCCCAGGTCACCTGGTGAAATCAGAAGAGACAGTCATCCTGCAATGTTGGTCGGATGTCATGTTTGAGCACTTCCTTCTGCACAGAGAGGGGAAGTTTAACAACACTTTGCACCTCATTGGAGAGCACCATGATGGGGTTTCCAAGGCCAACTTCTCCATTGGTCCCATGATGCCTGTCCTTGCAGGAACCTACAGATGCTACGGTTCTGTTCCTCACTCCCCCTATCAGTTGTCAGCTCCCAGTGACCCTCTGGACATGGTGATCATAGGTGAGAGTGTCCAGACATTCTTCTCATTGTCATTGGGATGCAGAGTGAATGATCCAGGACTTGGAGACCCAGGTGGTTGTAAGGAAGATGAGCTTGGTATTCTTATGGAGAGAGACTGACTTGGTGAGGTCTGTGCCAACAGAGACAGAGAAACAAGAGACACAAGTACAGACCAGGTGTCATAACAGAGGACAAACACAGGGGCCATACAGGGAGTTAGAAAAGACAGAAAGAGTTAAAGGAGACAGACAGACATGTCCCAGACAGAGGTGTCCTTCCATGCTGACTTTGCTCAGAGACCTGGCACAGGTTAGAAGTTTCATTTCTGTTTTACCTCCACAAAGTGTTCTCTACCAGGAGAACCCAAGGACACCCATATTTCTGACCTGAGTTGGGCCCTGTGGCCTCAGGCCTTGTGGCACCTACAGATGCCATGCTTATTCTGACACCTCTGACTTCCATGCAATGGAGAATAATCGTCCCAAAATATCATGGCCCCAGAACACCAACCCCTGTATGCTGTGTGAACTTGTGGTCTCCAGACTGGATTCTGAGGCTCACATTCCAAATAACCCCACATATCACATATGAGAGGATCACTGAGAAGCACAGAGAGAAATCAGGGACACCAAAAAGCAAAGACATAAACACACAGAGAAAGAGCCAGAGGAAGGAGATTGAGAGACTCACAGACACATAAAGAGAGAGAAGAGGGCAGAGAAGTGGAGAGAATGATGGAAGAGAGCAGAGAAAACCACTAAAATTAGAGTCCTGAGGGCGAGGCACAAGGGCATAGAAAGATGGAGATGTGGGGATGAATTGCAGAGATTCCAAAGAGAACTAGAGAGACCGAGAGGCAGAGCAAGACAGATGATAGATGGATAGATACAGATAGATGATGGATAGATATAGATAGATGATATATAGGTAGATGATAGATAATAGGTTATAGATACATAGATGATGATTGATTGATTCATTAATAGATGATACATAGAGATGATGATGATGAAGATAGATGGATAGATAATACATAGAGATAGAGAGGAAGACAAAGAGAGAAATAATAGAGAGAGAGAGATGATACATATATATAGATAATAGATGATTGACGGATAGACAATTGATAGATAAATAGATGATATATAGATATAGATGACAGGTAGAGAATTTGTAGATAGGCACCGAATAGATAAATAGATGGATTGATAGATAATAGATAGAAATATGCAGAAAGTTATGAACGGGACACAAACTGAGAAACTCAGAGTTAAAAAAAGTAACATCAAGTCAACCAATCCAAGGAGAGCCAGAGAGAATAAAACAATCCAAAAAGAGAAAACATATCTAGAGGTGGGGAAGTGAGGTCAGAGACCTAGAGAGACAGAGAAGGTGGAAGGAGGAAATAGACATGAAGAGAGATAGGGTGGAGGGTGAGACAGAGAAAGAGAGCATTAGGCCATAGAGCAGGGGAGTGAGTTCTCAGGTCAGGTGTGAGGGGAGCTGTGACAAGGAAGATCCCCCCTGAGGAAACTGCCCCTTCTCCTTCCAGGTCTATATGAGAAACCTTCTCTCTCAGCCCAGCCGGGCCCCACGGTTCAGGCAGGAGAGAATGTGACCTTGTCCTGCAGCTCCATCTATCCAGGGAAGGGGAGGCCCATGAACGTAGGCTCCCTGCAGTGCGCAGCATCAACGGAACATTCCAGGCCGACTTTCCTCTGGGCCCTGCCACCCACGGAGGGACCTACAGATGCTTCGGCTCTTTCCGTGACGCTCCCTACGAGTGGTCAAACTCGAGTGATCCACTGCTTGTTTCCGTCACAGGTGAGGAAACCCCATATCTGTCCCATGTCCTATGATCCTAGAGCCTTAGCTGAGGAGCTTCCTGCTGATGATGGAGAGAAGCATGGACAGATGCAGAGAGAAGACGCAGCATGCCTGTGAGGGAGGGATCAGGGCGCAGGATGGCACACACAGCACCTCCAAACCCTCCTGCATGGCCTGCATGGAGGCCTCCGATTAGGGCTCCAGAAACCCAGGCAGATGTAGAAAGCGGTCAGGAGAGACCCAGAGAAGGGGAGACTGGGCTCAGTTTGGGGAGATCAGAGGTTCCCTCAGCCCCTCAACCTTACCCATTTCCCAGAAGCCCTTCCTGGCCTCTCACCCACACAGAGATGTCATCACCAGCAACCCCTACATCCTTTTCTTTTTGTTTGAAAAAATATTCATTGAGGTTAAATATACCTATATAGCTTACCACTTTTAACATTTTTTTTTTTTGAGGTGGAGTCTAGCTCTGTCTCCTATGCTGGAATGCAGTGGCACAATCTCAGCTCACTGTAACCTCCGCCTCCTGGGTTCAAGCGATTCTCCTGCCTCAGCCACCTGAGTAGCTGGTACTACAGGCGCCCATCACCACGCCGGGCTACTTTTTGTATTTTTAGTAGAGAGGGGGTTTCACCATGTTGGTCGAGCTGCTCTGGAACTCCTGACCACGTGATCCACCCGCCTCAGGCTCCCAAAGTGCTGGGATTACAGGCATGAGCCACCGCGCCCGGCCACGTTTACCAATTTTAAGTGTAAGGTCTAGTGGTCATAAATACATACATATAAATTTTTTGTTTGTTTGTTTTATCCTCCACCCTTTTCTTCCTGGCCTCTGGTAGCCACCATTCTACTCTCTATCTTCATGAGATCCACCTTTTAGCTCCTGTATATGGGTGAGAAATGAGAATATTTGTAATGACTTCCAGTTCCATCCATGTGGCTGCAAATATCAGGATGTTATTCTTTCTATGGATGAGTAGTCTCCGCTGTGCGTATGTACTACATTCTCTCTATCCATTCATCCACTGATGGGCAGGTAGGTTGACTCCACATCTTGGCTACTGTGAAGAGTGCTGCACCAATCATACGAGTGCAGATATCACTTCGATACATTGATTTACTTTCCTTTGGATATAAACCCAGTAGTGAAATTGCTGGATACTATGAAAGTTCTCTTTTTAGTTTTTCGTTTGTTGTTTTGTTTTTGTTTTTGAGACAGTTTCCCTCTGTGCCCAGGCTGGAGTACAAGTGATGTGATCTTGGCTCATTGCAACCTCCGCCTCCTGGGTTCAAATGATTTTCCTGCCTCAGCCTCCCTAGTAGCTGGGATTACAGGTGCACGCCACCATGCCGGGATACTTTTTGGTTTTTTTTAGTGTACATGGGGTTTCCCCAGGTTGGCTAGGCTGCTCTCAAACTCATGACCTCAACTGAGGTGCCCGCCTCGGTCTCCCAAAGTGCCGGGATTACAGGCATGATCCACTTCATCCAACCTCTTTTTAGTTCTTTAAAGGACTTCCATACTTTTCTCCGTAATGGCTGTACTAATTTACACTCCTACCAACAGGGTACCAGGGTTCTCCTTTCTCTACCACCTTGCCAGCATTTGTTTTGCCTGTCTTGCAGCTAAAAGCCATTTTATTTTATTTCATTTTATTTTGAGATGGAGTTTCGCTCTTGTCACCCAGGCTGGAGTGCAGTGGTGCGATCTCGGCTCACCGCAACCTCCACCTCCCAGGTTCAAGCGATTCTCCTGCCTCAGCCTCCCGAGTAGCTGGAATTACAGGCACACGCCACCACGCCCGACTAATTTTTGTATTTTTAGTAGAGACAGCGTTTCTCCATGTGGGTCAGACTGGTCTCAAACTCCCGACCTTATGAGATTCGCCCACCTCGGGCTCTCAGAGTTCTAGGATGACAGACGTGAGCCACCTCGCCCGGCCTAAAAGCCATTTTAATGGGGTGAGATGAAAACTCACTTTGATTTTAATTCGCGTTTCTCTGATGATGAGTGATACTGAGCACTTTTTCGTATGTGGGGAAATTTCATGTCTTTTGCTCCTTTTTCAATTAAATCATTTGTTTTATTGAGTTGTTTGAGCTTCTTATACTTCTAGTTATTAATCCCGTCTCAGATGCATAGTTTGCACATATTTGCTCCCAATCTGTGGGTTGTCTCTTCACTTTGTTGGTTTATTTTTAGCGGTGCAGAAGTTGCTTAGTTTGAGGTAATCCCAATGGTCTATTTTTGCTTCGATTACTTGTGTTTTGAAGGTTTAAAACAAAATGTCTTCCTTCAGACAAATGTACTGGAGCATTTCCCCAATATTTTCTTCTACGTGTTTCACAGGTTCAGGCCTTAGACTCACATCTTTAATCCACTTTCATTTGATTTTTGTGTATGGTGACAGGTAGAGGTGCAGTTTCATTCCTCTGCATGTAGATGTCCAGGTTTCCCTGCACTGTTTATTGAAAAAACTGTCCTTTCCTGATTGTGAGTTCTTGGCACCTTTGTCAAAGTCCATTGGATGGGCTGGGCATGGTGGCTAACACCAGCAACTTCAGCACTTTGGGAGGCCAAGGCTGGTGGATCACCTGAGGACAGGAGTACAAGATTACTCTGGCCGACGTGATGAAACATCGTCTCCACTAAAAATATAAAAATTAGCTGAGCATGGTGGTCAGCACCTGTAATACTACTACTCAGGAGTTTGAGGCAAGAGAATTGATTGAACCCAGGAGGCTGAGGTTGCAGTGAACCGAGATTGCACCTCTGCACTCCAGCCTGGGTGACAGAGCGAGACTCCATCTCAAAAGAAAAAATAAAAAAAATTGGATGTAAATGCATGGATTATATCTGTGTTCTTCATTCTGCTCCGTTGTTCTATGTGCCTTTCTTCATGCCAACATCATGCTGTTTTGCTTACTACAGCTCTGTAACATATTTTGAGATCAGGTAGTGTGATGCTCCTGTTTTCTCTTTATACCTTGAAGTCTCAAGACAGTGGGCGTCACATACAAAAATTATGGAAGAAAGGATCCCTGGACTCCCAGGGCCCAATGTTAGATAACAGAGTGTTGGCCATGAACCAAACTCAAAGATTTCCACTGAGTAGAGGACAGACACCCTCATTTCCTCACCTCTCTCCTGTCTCATGTTCTAGGAAACCCTTCAAATAGTTGGCCTTCACCCACTGAACCAAGCTCCAAAACCGGTGAGTACAGGACCCTCTTATATCCGCTTTTGGAACCCTGGGGAGGTGGAAACCTTGGATTCAGGCGTTGACTCAGCATCTCACAGCTCTGACATTGTACGCCTGTCTTCTACCATCTCCGAACTCCAGATACTCCAACAGCGAAAGGGATCTGGGCCCAACACAGGGCTCAGTGAAATCTCTTCATCTCTCATTTTATGGAGCTGAGACCTCCTACAAGCTAGAAGAATGATTGCCAATCTGACATCCTTCTCAGGAAAAACGCAATGTTTGTTCTGCTTGCATTCCTAACTGGAGGATAAATTCCTGGGGGCTTGAGAGAGGGAAGGGAAGCGAACATCTGATGAGGGCGAGGTGTTTTAGAGAAGTTCCACTTGCCAAGGAATGAGCTCCTGTTGGTCATGAAACAACCCTGGCTGACTCAGCAGAGCAAGAGCCTTGCCGTAACAGAGAACAGAGCTCATGCACGCACACTTTGACTCACTGACTTATTCAGCCACGGCCCCATGCTCAGGTTGTGCAGTGTGGAAGCTTTTCCTATTGTTGCCATAACAAATTTCCACAAGATTCGTGGGTGAAAACAAAACGGTTATTTAATTATCTTACAGTGCTCTAGCTCAAAGCATGAAGTGCATCTCACTGGGCTAAAATCAAGATGACAGCAAGCCTGCCTTCCCTCTGAGGATTCCAGGCAAGAATCTGCTTCTCACTTGTCCCATCTTATAAAGGCTCCCAGTTCCTTGGCTGCTGGTCCCTTTCCTCCTTCCTCAAAACCCACAAAGACTGGTCACATCTCACATGGCATCACTCAGACCCTTCTTCCTTACCACACCTCTTTCTCTGAATGCTGCTCTCCCTTCTTCCTCATCTTTTGAAAACTTGGGGATTCTATTGGGTTCACCAAGATGAAAATCCGTCATAATCTCCCGGAAATCATTCAGGATACCCTTGTTTTAAGTTCAGCTGATTAGCAACCATAATTCCATCTGCAATCTTCATTCCTCCTTTCCATGTAAAATAACATATTCACAAGCTATGGAGGCTAGGACAGGGACATTTTGGGGTGGGACAGCATTCTCCTGCCTTCCACAAATGGTGAACAAGATGCATTTGGCCTCTGCTCTTGGGACACTGATATTGCAGATGGTTAAATGGGAGGACAGAAAATGAATGCACAAGTGGACCAATAAATGAATGATCCATTGGGAAGCATCTGTGCATGAAATCTATTTGTTTGTTTGTTCGTTTGTTTATTGAGACAGAGTCTCCCTCTGTCTTCCAGGCTACAGTGCAGTGTCACGATCTTGGCTCACTGCAACCTGCGTCTCCTGGATCCAAGTGATTCTCCTGCCTCACCCTCTCGAGTAGCTGGGATTACAGGCAACTGCCACCATGCCCGGCTAATTCTTTTTGTATATTTTTTGTAGAGAGGATGTTTCACCATGTTGGCCAAGCTTGTCTGAAACTCCCAACCTCAAGTGATCCGACCATCTCAGCAACCCAAAGTACTGGGATTACAGGCGTGAGCCACTTTGCCCAGCCAGAATTCAAAATAAATAATAGATAATGCTGAGTGTATAATTTTGGGTGACAGAGAAGGTCTCACTAATCAGATATTTGTGACATTAATGAAAAACACGGATTGAACCCCTGAAAGATTGGCGGAAGGATTTTCCACACAGCTGTCAGCTGTGAAGGCACAAAGGTGAAAACAATCTGATGTTGAAGGAAGAGGCTCTGCCTGAAATGCTGGGAATGAGGTGGGGAGAATGACAAGATGACTGTAGAGAGATGGAGAGCACTCTGGGTACACAGGAAACTAAGGAGGAACAAGGAGTGTGTGTTTGACACTCACAGCCCTTGGATTCACCTCGGGGTAACCAGGAATCCCTACATGATTAATAGTGACTGACAAGAAAATAAGGGAGGCCCAGGTGCGTAACTGGAATCTAGGAGACTGTGGAAAAGGCAATTGCCGCCCCACTGGTGAAATGTGGTGCTGATTTAGACACTAAATGAATGAAGTAGATGGATATAAGATATGCTTGTGAGGTAGAATCATTGGCTGGAAAGGCTTGCTGGGTTTGATTTTCCTACTTGTTTAATCCTCGCTTAATTAATTTCTTTCTGAGATTTATTCATCCTACACATAAATCAATACCTGGCAAAGGAGTGACAGATATATGAGGGGTGGTGGAAATGAAGGGACCTATTATAGCATAATATACAAGTCTGTGAACGGTGGCTCATGCTTGTAACCCAGCCCTGCAGGAGGCCAAGGCGGGTGGATTCCATGAAGTCAGGAGTTCCAGACCAGCCTGGCCAACATGGTGAAACCCTATCTGTACTAAAAATACAAAAATTAGCCGAGCATGGTGGTGCATCCCTGTAATCCCAGCTCCTACTCTGGAGGATGAAGCAGGAGAATGACTTCAACCCAGGAGGTGGAGGTTGCAGTGAGTGGAGATTGCATCACTGCACTCCAGCCTGGGTGACACAAGGAGACTCCGTCTCAAAAAATAAAAATAAGAAATGCATAAATATAATAAAACACACACGAATGACAAAGGCACCTGAATTCCAATCATCATTTTTCTATTTCTCTATAATTACTTCTTTGATCCTTTATCTTATCCATTAGGCAATGAGCCTAAAACCTCTTCCCTATTTGGCTTTCTGTGAGCATGAGATCACATAGAAAATGTGAAAGCCCGCTGAATCCTCCAGCACGGATCCTGGAATAGAGAAAGTGCTCTGGTCATCGCAAAAAAAAACTTGCCCACTCACCCAAATCCCCCACCTCACCCCTACTTCCAATCACCTGTGGAGATTCAGATAGACCATGGGGAGGAAACATTAATACTCCTTGGAGTGAGTCCAGATCTTGGAATCAGAGATCAGCGACAGCACTAGCTCCTGTTCCCCTTTCCTACTAATTCACAGGAGGACAGGTGGTATTGAAGCAATAGATGGTCGAGGGGGTGGTCCTTCCCCCAGCCTCTCGGGTAGAACAGCAGCCTAACATGTGTCTCCCGAGATCACAAAGAGTAGCACATTTCACACGGGCTTCAACACTATTTCCTGGCTGTTTGACATAAGAGAATCTTGCTTCGCTATTTTTAATCGTGATTTCACCTTTGTTTCCTTTCCTTGGTGAATGCAATTTGTTTGACTCAAGAATGCTGTGGATGTAGAAATCCTAAAGTACATTCGCTGTGTATCAATCCCAGTGCAGTCTTCCCAGAGAAGACTCTAAACAAATCCTGGACTGCACCTGGGCCTATGCCAATTCCTATCACTCACCGTCACTCCAGGGAGACAGAACACACAGAGAATACGTTACATAGGCAGGTTCATTACTAACAGATAAGCAGCGAGTGACAACAGAAGCCTGCATTTCAATGTGAGCCAGTCCCTCAAGGCTCAGAAAAGCTGCTCGGGACATATGGAGTCACCCCATTTGCAGTGTAGCTGGGGGAAGCCAGAAAGCAGCCCAGCCTGGGTTTTGTACCCTGGAGCCACAGGAAGCACTCAGCTAAAGCACTGCATGACGTCCTCCTCCAGGAAGAACAGGAAGACAGCCCAGGCTGTTCTGAGACATTCCTCCTGATCTCAGGATGTTGCTATCTTAGTCCATTTTTGTTGCTCTAAAGGAACACTTGAGCCTGGGTAACTTCTAAAGAAAAGAGATTGGTTTGCCTCACAGTTCTGCAGGCTGTACTGGAAGCATGGCACCAGAATCTATTTCTCGTGACGGCCTCAGGCTGCTCCCACTCTGGCAGAAGGGAAGGAGGGTCTGTCTGTGCAGAGACCGCAGAGATCACACGGCAAGAGAGAGAGTAAGGGGGAGAGGGAGCGATGGAGCTTCCAAGCTCTTTTTAACAACCAGCTCTCCAGGAACTAACAGAGGGGGAACTTGCTAACCCCGTCTCCTTGGGACAGCATTGATCTGTTCATGATGGATCCACCTCCATGACCCAAACACCTCTGAAGAGGCCCAACCTCCCACAATGGGGGTGAAATTTCAATGTGAGGTTTGAAAGGGTCAAACATCTCAACTAAAGTAGTTGTATCCTCAGCACGTTCTATGGTTACTATGAGAGCTATAATTGAGAAAGCAGGGGAAAGCTAGGTCTCCCGCCATTTGGGTGCTTGTCCTAAAGAGACGTTGTATGTGGTTACCTGCCAATCAAGAAATGCGAGACAATTCATAAAGAGGAACTGCTATGATTAGCTTCTTATTGGTGTCTCCTCTTCTTCCAGGTAACCCCAGACACCTACATGTTCTGATTGGGACCTCAGTGGTCAAAATCCCTTTCACCATCCTCCTCTTCTTTCTCCTTCATCGCTGGTGCTCCGACAAAAAAAGTAAGTCTCACGAAGCAGAGGCCAGAGAGCTCAGGGCCATGTGGGGAAGCAGGATGGGAGCACGCGGATGTGTGTTCCTCACCAGCAGGATGGTCCCTGGCCCAAGACAGGAGCCACAGAGGCAGGACTTTCTAGAGAGAGCACCAGATTCCCTTCCCCTGCCTTCAGCTCACAGACCATTGCCTGATTCTGAACTGTATCCTCATGTCCCCTGCAGCCACTCACATCCAGGAGAAGGTTCCATGACAGGCAGAAAGTGGGAGATAGAATCAATGGGATGGGACCTCAGAGCTATTCATGGGATGGGTCCTTGAACTCAGAGAGATAGAATGTCTGAGTCTGCTGTTGGCAACTGAGGGACCTCAGGCACCTATGGCCTCCCCCTGTTTGTTGGTATCTGCTTATGAAATGAGGACCCAGAAGTGCCCTCCGAGCTCTTTTGTTGACTTCCGTCTTCTACAGATGCTGCTGTAATGGACCAAGAGCCTGCAGGGAACAGAACAGTGAACAGCGAGGTAGGTGCTCCTCGGCCCAGCCTCGTGGCTAGTCTTATTCCCAAAGAGTCCTGAAAAATGTGAGCACCCTCCCTCACTCAGCATTTCCCTCTCTCCAGGATTCTGATGAACAAGACCATCAGGAGGTGTCATACGCATAATTGGATCACTGTGCTTTCACACAGAGAAAAATCACTCGCCCTTCTGAGAGGCCCAAGACACCCCCAACAGATACCAGCATGTACATAGAACTTCCAAATGCTGAGCCCAGATCCAAAGTTGTCTTCTGTCCACGAGCACCACAGTCAGGCCTTGAGGGGATCTTCTAGGGAGACAACAGCCCTGTCTCAAAACCGGGTTGCCAGCTCCCATGTACCAGCAGCTGGAATCTGAAGGCATCAGTCTTCATCTTAGGGCATCGCTCTTCCTCACACCACGAATCTGAACATGCCTCTCTCTTGCTTACAAATGTCTAAGGTCCCCACTGCCTGCTGGAGAGAAAACACACTCCTTTGCTTAGCCCACAATTCTCCATTTCACTTGACCCCTGCCCACCTCTCCAACCTAACTGGCTTACTTCCTAGTCTACCTGAGGCTGCAATCACACTGAGGAACTCACAATTCCAAACATACAAGAGGCTGCCTCTTAACACAGCACTTAGACACGTGCTGTTCCACCTCCCTTCAGACTATCTTTCAGCCTTCTGCCAGCAGTAAAACTTATAAATTTTTTAAATAATTTCAATGTAGTTTTCCCGCCTTCAAATAAACATGTCTGCCCTCATGGTTTCGGTAACGAGACTCTTTTCTTGCCTAAGGCTTCCGGTGTTATCATTACCATGTCCACATAACCCCATCTGTTCTCCATTGGGTTCTCAGCCCTGGACTCTGAGCTTCTGGAAGCAGAATGGAGCCTGATTTGTCTCTGAGACTCCAATTTCCATCCAAAGATACAGCACATAGGAGGCTCCAAGGATCGTGAATCACATGAACAAGTGATATTCTTACTCTCTGCAGACCTGGAAAGCTGGCAGAGTCATTCCACGATGAAACATTTGTAGAGTCATAGGCCTTGTTAGTCTCATCTCCACGGGGACACATATCAACATATCATCTTTCATAATATAAATATACAGTCGGTCCTCCATATCTGTGGGGTTTACAGGTGTTTATTGAACCAACAATAAATCAAAAATATTTTCAGAAAAAAATCCCCGAAGTTTCAAGAAGCAAAAAACTATGTTGAATCGACACAAATTGAGTGGCGTGTAGGCTGTGTCAGGAATTATAAGTAATCAAGGGATGATTTCATGTATACAGGAGGATGTGCATGGGTTCTATGCAATTGCTATGCTATTTTTTTTTTTTTTTTTGAGACAGTCTCACTCTCTCACCCAGGCTGGAGTGCAGTGGCAGGATCTCAGCTCACTGCAACCTCCGCCTCCCAGGTTCAAGCGATTGTCTTCCCTCAGCCTCCCCAGTAGCCTCCCCTAGGATTACAGGCACGTGCCACCATGCACAGATAAATTTTTTTGTGTGTGTATTTTTAGTAGAGACGGGGTTTCAGAATGTTGGACCAGCTGGTCTTGAACTCCTGACCTCGTGATCTACCCAACTCAGCCTCCCAAAGTGCTGGGATTACAGGCGTGAGCCACGGTGCCCAGCTTCGCTATGCCATTTCATGCAAGGGGCTTGAGCATCTGCAGATTTTGGTATCTGAATGGGGATCCTGGAACCAATCACCCAGGAATAGTGAAGGACCACAGTATATAATTTTTATTTGTCAATCTTAAAAATAAAGCATAAAAAGTTTACAACAACAAGATAAAAAATAAGAAGTGTCTTTATAGTGTGAGGATAAGTTTAGATTTATTTTTTCCTACGTGTAACCCTATGGTCCTGTGTTATTTGTTGAGAAAATATTCTATTCCACCTTAAACTACATGGCAGCCTTTGTCAACTATAAAGGGACTGTGTATCCACAGATGTATTTTAGACACAGTTTTCTGCCCAGTGGTTCTCTGTATCCCCTCTCATGAGGATGCTGCATTTCATATAAACTTATAGAACCCCTTAAAATTTGGTAACCTGAGTTCTCTGATTTGTTATTATAGGTTATTTAGTTTGCTTTTTTTTTTCTTTCTTGAGACAGACTCTTCCTCTGTCACCCAAGCTGGAGTTCAGTGGCTTGAGCTCAGCTCACTGCAGCCTCCGCCTCCCAGGTTCAAGCAATTCTCGTGCCTCAGGTTTAGTACTAGAAACTCATCAGGAAAATTAGAATGGCTTTTTGTCACAATTACTCTGATAATGTTAATAATACCTCTTAGATATTTTGCACATTACACATGAAGAAAAGTTTGAATCTCAGATAAAAACAAAAATACATCAAAAGTCTTTAATGTAAGCACAGAATTCAATCACCTCATGTGTGAGAGGTTGGATCTGAGACGTCTTTTGAGTCTGGTCATAGTGAAGGATGCAAGGTGGCAATTGTAGTCACAACAATTTCCAGGAAGCCATGTTCCGCTCTTGAGCGAGCACCCACTGGGCCTCATGCAAGGTAGAAAGAGCCTGCGTACGTCACCCTCCCATGATGTGGTCAACATGTAAACTGCATGGGCAGGGCGCCAAATAACATCCTGTGCGCTGCTGAGCTGAGCTGGGGCGCGGCCTCCTGTCTGCACCGGCAGCACCATGTCGCTCACGGTCGTCAGCATGGCGTGCGTTGGTGAGTCCTGGAAGGGAATAGAGGGAGGGAGAGTGGGGATGGAGATCTCGGCCTAGAGGTAAAGATATGGGCCTGGAGTGGAGATATGGGCCTGGAGTGGAGATATGGGCCTGGGTGTGGAGATATGGGCCTGGAGGTGTAAATATGGGCCTGGAGTGGAGATATGGGCCTGGAGGGGAGATATGGGCCTGGGTGTGGAGATATGGGCCTGGAGTGGAGATACGGGCCTGGAGTGGAGATATGGGCCTGGAGTGGAGATATGGGCCTGCAGGTGGAGATCTGGGCCTGGAGTGGAGATATGGGCCTGGAGTGGAGATATGGGTCTGATGTGGAGATATGGGCCTGGAGTGGAGATATGGGCCTGGAGTGGAGATATGGGCCTAGAGGGGAGATCTGGGCCTGGAGTGGAGATATGGGTCTGATGTGGAGATATGGGCCTGGAGTGGAGATATGGGCCTGGAGTGGAGATAGGGGCCTGGAGTGGAGATATGGGCCTGGAGTGGAGATCTGGGCCAGGAAGTGTTGATCTGGGCCTGGAGCCTGGGTCTCTCCACAGCTGAGAGCCCTGTTCTTGGCAGCAGGTAGCAGGGAGGCTAAGTTTACCTTCAGCCCAGCAAGGGCCTGGCTGCCAAGACACACAGTGCAGTGGGGGCAGCAGGGTGCCCTGGTTTGCCTGCAGTTGGATCGTCTATCATGATCTTTCTTTCCAGGGTTCTTCTTGCTGCAGGGGGCCTGGCCACTCATGGGTGAGTCCGTCCCCAAACCTTAGGGTGTCATCTCCCCACATAAGAGGATTTTTCTGAAACAGGAGGGAAGTCCTGTCGGGGAGTCTCTCATAAACTAGGAAGAGGGGACCCTTGGATACTCGGCCCACATTTCTGACCTCGCCCTCCCTGGCCTTTCTTTCCCTTTCCTGAGTCAAGCTCTGTGAAGACTGGGGTGAGACTGGGGTGCTCCAAGCTGGGGTGTGCAGGGAGGAAGTGGTGTCAGCAGCAGAGAAAGAGAGGGAAGCAGTGCTAGGAACAGCAGGTCCTCTGAGGACAAAGGTATAACTGACACCCTCCAGCGTTTCCGTGACGGTAGGGGCTGCAGTGTGGCTGCGGTCTTTCTACCAGAAGAGGGGGGAAACCACAGCCATGGCCCTGACATTCCAAATCCTCTGAGGGGGCTCAGTTCATGAATTGGCTGATATTCCATTCACATAGGACATGCCCTCCATGCCGTGTCTACTTTGTGTTGTTTTATGTGAGTAATTTTGCAGTATTAAAATCTAGTAAGAGTCACTTATTCAGCACTTGCTCAAAGTTCTCAGCTGACACTTGTTGTAGGGAGACGCCATGTCTATGTGGGGTGGGTCCTTCCTGTAGCCCTGGGCACCCAGGTGTGGTAGGAGCCTTAGAAAGCGGAAATGGGAGAATCTTCTGAGCACAGGGAGGGAGGGGTGGCTCCACATCCTCCTCTCTAAGGCAGTGCCTCCTTCTCCCCCAGGTGGTCAGGACAAACCCTTCCTGTCTGCCCGGCCCAGCACTGTGGTGCCTCGAGGAGGACACGTGGCTCTTCAGTGTCACTATCGTCGTGGGTTTAACAATTTCATGCTGTACAAAGAAGACAGAAGCCACGTTCCCATCTTCCACGGCAGAATATTCCAGGAGAGCTTCATCATGGGCCCTGTGACCCCAGCACATGCAGGGACCTACAGATGTCGGGGTTCACGCCCACACTCCCTCACTGGGTGGTCGGCACCCAGCAACCCCCTGGTGATCATGGTCACAGGTCAGAGGCTTTCTGTCTGGGCTTCTCACTGTCCCACCTCCTGAATCCCAGAGCTTCTGGTGGGGGTGTCCATCAGGGTCCCATCACCCAGGCCCCAACTGTATTTGGGGTCAAGGGGGATTGAATACAGGGGAAATGGGCGCTGTGGTGGGAAGAATCACTGTCGCCAATGATGGCTACATTGTAATCCCTGGAGCCTGTGACTATTTATGTTATAGGGCAGGGGACTGAAGGGGAAGGTGGAGCTCAGGTTGTTGATGAGTTGACCTTGAGATGGGGAGACAGCCTGGACTGTCCTGCTGGGCTCAGTGTAATCACAAGGGTCCGCGTGAGAGGTGGAGGAAGAGGGGAGTGGGGATTAGAGCAGTGTAGTGGGAGGGAGACGCTATCAGCCACTGTGGGCTTTGAAGGTGGAGGAAGGCCACTAGTCACAGAATGCAGGTGGCCTCTAAGGGCTGGAGAAGTCAAGAGAACTGATTCGCTGAGTCTCCAGAGGGAACGCAGCCCTGCAGATGCCTTGATTTCAGCACAGGGAGAACTGGATCCAATTTCTGTCCCCAGAAGTGGAAGGGGTCAGTGTGTTCTCTCCTGCTGCCATGTTTGTGATAATTTTCTGCAGCAGCAACAGGAAACCGACACAGGAACCCAGGTCAAGGACAAGCTAGGAAACCAAACAAGGATAGCCAGGTGTGGTGGTGGGCACGAGTAATCCAACGACTGGGGAGGCTGAGGCAAGATAATCACTTGAACCGGGGAGGCAGAGGTTGCAGTGAGCCAAGACAACACCACTGCACTCCAGCCTGGGTGAAAAAGTGACTGTCTCAAAAATAAATTAATTAATCAATTAATTAAAGAAACCAAACAAGGAGAAGGTTGGCTACCGTGGGATCAGCAAGGGTGGGATGCTGATGCCACCACCAGGCTCCATCCACATAGGAAGGGGTTGATGCTCCTGGAACCAGCACCAGGGACCACCCTATGGAAGCTGGGGCCATGGAGAAGGCACAGACATGGCAGGAGAGGCTCCCAATCCCCATCAGGAACAGGGTGTGTGGACACTGATGTCTGCCTTACTGATGAGTTGATACCTCTGCCAGAGACTCCAATTTGTTCAAAAGAGATTGATTCAGGCTGCTGAGAGCCTGGACATGCAGCCTGTCCTCTTCCACCCCCACATAGACAGCAGGAAAGAGACTAGTGGGAAAGAGATACAACAGCCCAAGAGATGAGGCTCTCTTCACAGTGGGAAGGGAGTCAGGGGCTACTGGAGACAGAGGGACAGAGAAGAGGGAGGAAGACAAATGGAGGGACCTGCACCAGGGGATATGGGCACAGAAAAGACACGGAGACACAGAGAGGGAGGAGAGAGACAGACCTCTGGGAGGGGAACCCTCACTCATTCCAGGTGCCATGGATGGGATGATAAAGAGAGATGCCTTCTAAACTCACAACTTCTCTTTCTAGGAAACCACAGAAAACCTTCCCTCCTGGCCCACCCAGGGCCCCTGCTGAAATCAGGAGAGACAGTCATCCTGCAATGTTGGTCAGATGTCATGTTTGAGCATTTCTTTCTGCACAGAGAGGGGATCTCTGAGGACCCCTCACGCCTCGTTGGACAGATCCATGATGGGGTCTCCAAGGCCAACTTCTCCATCGGTCCCTTGATGCCTGTCCTTGCAGGAACCTACAGATGTTATGGTTCTGTTCCTCACTCCCCCTATCAGTTGTCAGCTCCCAGTGACCCCCTGGACATCGTGATCACAGGTGAGAGTGTCCAGACATTCTTCTCATTGTCATTGGGACACAGAGTGAATGATCCAGGACTTGGAACCCCCAGGTGGTCATGAGGAAGATAAGCGTGGGATTCTTATGGAGAGAGACTGACTCGGTGAGGTCTGTACCAACAGAGACAGGGAAACAGGAGACATAAGTACAGACCAGGTGTCATAACAGAGGACAGACACAGGGGCCATACGGGGAAGTAGAAAAGAGAGAAAGAGGTAAAGGAGACACTCAGACAGACAGACATGTGCCAGAGAGAAGTGTCCTTCCATGCTGACTTTGCTCAGAGACCTGGCACAGGTTAGAAGTTTCATTTCTGTTTTGTCTCCACAAAGTGCTTCTACGAGGAGAACCCAAGGACACCCATATTTCTGACCTGAGTTGGGCCCTGTGGCCTCAGGCCTTGTGGCATCTACAGATGCCATGTTTATTCTGACACCTCTGCCTTCCATGCAGTGGAGCCATAATTATCCCAGGATATCATGGCCCCAGAACACCAACCCCTAAATACTGTGTGTACTTGGTGTCCCCAGACTAGATTCTGAGGCTCATATTCCAAATAATCCTACATATAATAGGATCACTGAGAGACACAGAGATAAATCAGGGACTTCAAAAAGCAAAGGCATAAACACACAGAGAATGAGCCAGAGGAAGGGGATTGAGAGACTCACAGACACACAAAAAGAAAGAAAAGAGGGCAGAGGAGTGGAGAGAATGCTGGAAGGGAGGAGAGAAAAGCCCCAAAATCAGAACCCTGAGGGAGGGGCACAAAGACAGAGAAAGATAAAGATGTGGGGATGGATTGCAGAGATTCCAAATAGAACTAGAGAGACTGAGAGGCAGAGAAAGACAAGGAGATGGAGAGAGACAGATGATAGATGGATAGATAGATATAGATAGATGATAAATAGGTAGATGATAGATAATGGATAGGTTATAGATACATAGATGATGATTGATAGATGATACATAGAGATGATGATGATGATGATGATGAAGATAGATAGATAGAAGACACATATATAAATATATAGATACATAGATGATACATAGAGACTGACAGGCAGACAGAGAGGTAATAGAGAGAGAGAGAGATGATACATAGATACAGATAATACATAGATGATTGATGGATAGACAGATAGACAATTGATAGATAAATGATACATAGATATAGATGACAGATAATTTGTAGATAGACACAAAATAGATAGATAGATAATAGATAGAAATATGCAGAAAGTTATGAACAAGACAGAAAGTGAGAGACTCAGAATTATAGAAAAAGGAAGATCAAGTCAACCAATCCAAGGAGAGTCAGAGAGAATAAAACAATCCAAAAAGGGAAAGCATACCCAGGGGTGGGGAAGTGAGGTCAGAGACCTAGAGAGACAGAGAAGGCGGAAGGAGGAAATAGACATGAAGAGAGTTGGGGTGGAGGGTGAGAGAGAGAGAGAGCATTAGGTCATAGAGCAGGGGAGTGAGTTCTCAGCTCAGGTATGAGGGGAGCTGTGACAAGGAAGAACCTCCCTGAGGAAACTGCCTCTTCTCCTTCCAGGTCTATATGAGAAACCTTCTCTCTCAGCCCAGCCGGGCCCCACGGTTCAGGCAGGAGAGAACGTGACCTTGTCCTGTAGCTCCTGGAGCTCCTATGACATCTACCATCTGTCCAGGGAAGGGGAGGCCCATGAACGTAGGCTCCGTGCAGTGCCCAAGGTCAACAGAACATTCCAGGCAGACTTTCCTCTGGGCCCTGCCACCCACGGAGGGACCTACAGATGCTTCGGCTCTTTCCATGCCCTGCCCTGCGTGTGGTCAAACTCAAGTGACCCACTGCTTGTTTCTGTCACAGGTGAGGAAAACCCGTGTCTGTCCCATGTCTTATGATCCTAGAGCCATAGCTGAGGAGCTTCCTGCCGATGATGGGGAGAAGCACGGACAGATGCAGAGAGAACACGAAGACTGGGTGTGAGGGGGGGGTCAGGGTGCAGGATGGCAGACAGGGCACCTCCAAACCCTCTTGCATGGCCTGCATGGAGGCCCATGGTCAGGGCTCCAGGCACCCAGGCAGATGGAGAAAGCGGTCAGGACAGACCCAGAGAAGGGGAGACTGGGCTCAGTTTGGGGAGATCAGAGGTTCCCTCAGCCCCTCAACCTTACCCATTTCCCAGAAGCCCATCCTGGCCTCTCACCCACACAGAGAGATGTCATCACCAGCAACCCCTACACTCTTTTCTTTTCATTTTCAAAAATATTTATTGAGGTTAAATGTAACTATATAATTTACCAACTTTACCATTTTTAAAAGTAAAATCTAGTGGTCATAAATACCTTTATATGCTGGGTGTGGTGGTTCACGGTTGTAATCTTGGCGCTTTGAGAGGCCAAGAAAGGTGGATCATTTAAGATCAGGGACTCGAGATCAGCCTGGCCAACATGCGGGAAATTCATCTTTACTAAACAGACAAGAAAAATTAGCCAAGCATGCCGGCATGCACCTGTAGTCCTAGCTACTTGGGAGGCTGAGGCAGGAGAAGCACTTAAAGCCAGGAGGCAGAGGTTGCACTGAGCCGAGATCATGCCACTGCACTGCAGCCTGGGAGACAGAGAGAGACTCTGTTTCTAAATAAATAAATACATCTATATTCTTTTTTTTGTTACCTTCCACCCTTCCCTTCCTGGCCTCTGGTATCCACCATTCTATTCTCTACCTTCATGAGATCCACCTTTTATCTCCTGCATGTGGTGAGAAATGGGAATCTTTGTAATGACCTCCAGTTCCATCCATGTGGCTGCAAATGACAGGATGTTATTGTTTCTATGGATGAGTAGTCTCCACCGTGTGTGTGTACTACAGTTCTCTATCCATTCACCCACTGATAGGCAGGTAGGTTGACTCCACATCTTGGCTACTGTGAACAGTGCTGGAACAGTCATATGAGTGCAGATATCACTTCGATACACTGATGTCCTTTCCTTTGGATATAAACCCAGTAGTGAAATTGCTGGACACTATGAAAGTTCTCTTTTTTTTTTTTTCTTTTTTGAGAAAGAGTTTCCCTCCTTAGTCCAAGCTGGAGTCAAAGTGGTGCGATCTTGGCTCATTGCAACCTCTGCTTCCTAGGTTCAAACGATTCTCCTGACTCAGCCTCCCTAATAGCTGTGATTACAGGTGCACGCCACCATGCCTGACTAATTCTTGTATTTTTTAGCACAGACGGGATATCCCAATTTTGGGCAGGCTGCTCTCAAACTCCTGACCTCAAGTGAGGTGCCTGCCTCGGTTTCCCAAAGTGCTGAAGTTACAGGCATAAGCCACTATGCCCAGCCTCCTTTTAGTTTTTTAAAGATTTTCCATACTTTTCTCCATAATAGTTGTACTAATTTACATTCCTACCAACAGGGTACCAGGGTTCTCCTTTCTCTACCATCTTGCCAGCATTTGTTTTGCCTGTCTTGCAGATAAAAGCCATTTTACTTTACTTTATTTATTTATTTATTTATGTTGAGATGGAGTTTCACTCATAGTCGCCCAGGCTGGAGTGCAAGGGTGTGATCTCGGCTCACTGCAACCTCTGCCTCCCGCGTTCAACTGATTCTCCTGCCTCAGCCTCCAAAGTAGCTGGGATTACAGGCATGTGCCACCACGCCTAGCTAATTTTTGTATGTTTAGTAGAGAGGGAGTTTCTCCATGTTGGTCAGGCTGGTCTCCCGACCTCAGGTGATCCGCCCACCTCCGCCTCCCAAAGTGCTGGAATTACAGGCGTGAGCCACCGGCCTAAAAGGCATTTTAATGGGATGAGATGAAAACTCATCGCGATTGTAATTTACATTTCTGTGATGATGAGTGATGCTGAGCACTTTTTCATATACGTGATCGCCATTTCTATGTTTTGTTTGTGGAGAAATGTCTCCTCATGTCTTTTGCTCGTTTTTTAATTAAATTGTTTTATTGAGTTGTTTGAGCTTCTTATATTTCCAGTTATTAATCCCATCTCAGATGAATAGTTTGCAAATATTTGCTCCTATTTTGTGGGTTGTCTCTTCACTTTGTTGGTTTATCTTTGGTGGTGCAGAAGTTGCTTGGTTTGATGTAATCCTAATGGTCTATTTTTTGCTTTGATTACTTGTGTTTTGAAGGTTTTAAACAAAATGTCTTTCGTCAGACAAATGTCTTCCCCATTATTTTCTTCTACATGTTTCATAGGTTCAGGCCTTAGACTCATGTTTTTAATCCATTTTCATTTGATTTTTGTGTAAGGTGACAGGTATAGATGCAGTTTTATTCCTCTGCATGTAGATATCCAGTTTTCCCCACACCATTTATTGAAGACTGTCCTTTCCTGATTGTAAGTTCTCGGCACCTTTGTCAAAGTCCATTAAATGGGCTGGGTATGGTGGCTCACACCTGCAATTCCAGCACTTTGGGAGGCCGAGGCGGGTGGATCACCTAAAGCCAGGAGTTCAAGACCAGGCTGGCCAACAGAGTGAAACCTCGTCTCTACTAAAAATACAAAAATTAGCTGAGCATGGTGATCAGTGCCTGTAATACCACTACTCAGGAGTTTGAAGCAAGAGAATTTCTTGAATCCAGGAAGTGGAGGTTGCATTGAGCTGAGATTGCACCTCTACACTCCAGCCTGCATGACAGAGCAAGATTCTATCACACACACACAAAAGAAAGCCATTGGATGTAAATGCATGGATTATATCTGTGTTCTCCATTCCGTTCCATTTTTTATGTGCCTTTCTTTATGCCAATGTCATGCTGTTTTGCTTACTACAGCTCTGTAACATATTTCTAAGTCAGGTAGTGTGATGCTCCTGTTTTCTCTTTATACCTTCAAGTCTCAAGACAGTGGGCATCGCACACAAAAATTATGGAGAAAAGGATCCCAAGACTCCCAGGGTCCAACATTAGATAACAGAGTGTTGGCCATGAACCAACCTCAAAGATTTCCATTGAGTAGAGGACAAGCACCCTCATTTCCTCACATCTCTCCTGTCCCGTGTTCTAGGAAACCCTTCAAGTAGTTGGCCTTCACCCACAGAACCAAGCTCCAAATCTGGTGAGTAAAGGACCCCTCTTATCTCTGCTTTTGGAAACCTGGGGAGGTGGAAGCCTTGGATGCAAGTGTTGGCTCAAACCTCCCAGCTCTGTGAATGAGGGCCTGTCTTCCACCATCTCTGAACTCCAGACACTCCAACAGTGAAAGGGATCTAGGGCCACCAAAGGGCTCAGCGAAGTCTCTTTACCTTTAATTTCCTGCAGGTGAGACCTCCTACAAGCTAGAAGAATAATTGCCAATCTGACATCCTTCTCAGGAAAAATGCAGTGTTTTTTCTGCCTGCATTCCTAACTGGAGGATAAATTCCCGGGGGCTTGAGAGAGGGAAGGGAAGGGAACATCTGATGAGGGTGGGTGTTTTAGAGAAGTTCCACTTGCCAAGGAATGAATTACTGTTGGTCATCAGGCAACCCTGGCTGACTCAGCAGAGCAAGAGCCTTGCCGTAACAGAGAACAGAGCTCATGCACGCACACTTCGACTCAGTGACTCATTCAGCCACAGCCCCATGCTCAGGCTGTGCAGTGTGGAAGCTTTTCCTATTGTTGCCATAACAAATTTCCACAAGATTCGTGTGTGAAAACAAAACGGTTATTTAATTATCTTACAGTGCTGTAGCTCAAAGCATGACGTGCATGTCACTGGGCTAAAATCAAGGTGACAGCAAGGCTGCCTTCCCTCTGAGGGTTCCAGGCAAGAATCTGCTTCTCACTTTTCTCAGCTTCTAGAGGCTCCCATGTTCCTTGGCTCCTGGTACCCTTCCTCCTTCCTCAAAGCCCACAAAGACTGGTCACATCTCACATGGCATCACTCAGACCCTTCTTCCTTACCACACCTCTTTCTCTGAATGCTGCTCTCCCTTCTTGCCCTTCTTTTGAAAACTTGGGGATTCTATTGGGTTCACCAAGATGAAAATCCATCATAATCTCCCGGAAATCATCCAGGATACCCTCCTTTTAAGTTCAGCTGACTAGCAACCATAATTCCATCTGCAATCTTCATTCCTCCTTTCATGTAAAATAACATATTCACAAGCTATGGAGGCTAGGACATGGACATTTTTGGGGTGGGACAACATTCTCCTGCCTTCCACAAACAGTGAACAAGATGCATTTGGCCTCTGTTCTTGGGACACTGATCTTGCAGATGGTTAAATGGGAGGGCAGAAAATGTAGGCACAAGGGGACCAATAAATGAATGATCTATTGAGAAGCATCTGTGCATGAAATCTATTTATTTATGTATTTACCTACTTGTTTATTGAGACGGAGCCTTGCTCTGTCGTCCAGGCTAGAGTGCGGTGGCATGATCTCGGCTCACTGCAACCTCCACCTCCTGGGCTGAACTGATCTCCTCCCTCAGCCTCTCCAGTAGCTGGGATTACAGACCACAACCACCACGCCCGGCTAACTCTTTTTGCATATTTTCTGTAGAGAGGATGTTTCACCATGTTGGCCAGGCTGGTCTCAAATTCCCAACCTCAGGTGATCCAATAGCCTCTGCCTCCCAACACGCTGGGATAAGAGGCATGAGCCACGGGGCCAAGCCAAATTTTCAAATCAATAATAGATAATGCTGAGTGTATTATTTCAGGTGACAGAGAAGTTCTCACTAATCAGATATTTGTGACATTAATGAAAAACACGGATTGAACCCCTGAAAGATTGGCGGAAGGATTTTGCACACACAGCTGTCAGCCGTGAAGGCACAAAGGTGAAAACAATCTGATGTGGAAGGAAGAGGCTCTGCCTGAAATGCTGGGAATGAGGTGGGGAGAATGACAAGATGACTGTAGAGAGACGGAGAGCACACTGGGTACACAGGAAACTAAGGAGCAACAAGGAGCGTGTGTTTGACACTCACAGCCATTGGATTCACCTCGAGGTAACCAGGAATCCCTACATGATTAATATGACTGACATGAAAATAAGGGAGGCTCAGTTGCATAACTGGAATCTAGGAGACCGTGGAAAAGGCAATTGCCGCCCCACTGGTGAAATGTGGTGCTGATTTAGACACTAAATGAATGAAGTAGATGGATATAAGATATGTTTGTGAGGTAGAATCATTGGCTGGAAAGGCTTGCTGGGTTTAATTTTTCCTGGTAGTTTAATCCTCGCTTCACTAACTTATTTCTGAGATTTATTTCTCCTGCATCTAAATCAATACCTGGCAGAGGAGGGAGAGCTAGATGAGGGGTGGTGCAAATGAAGGGACCTAGTATAGCATAATATACAAGGCTGTGAACGGTGGCTCACGCCTGTAACCCAGCACTTCAGGAGGCCAACGCGGGTGGATCACATGAAGTCAGGAGTTCGAGACCAGCCTGGCCAACATGGAGAAACCCTATCTCTACTAAAAATACAAAAATTAAACAGGCATGATGGTGGTGCATGACTGTAATCCCAGCTACTCTGGAGGAGGAAGCAGGAGAATGACTTCAGCCCTGGAGGCAGAGGTTGCAGTGAGTGGAGATCGCATCACTGCACACCAGCCTGGGCTACACAGGGATACTCTGTCTCAAAAAATAAAAATAAAAAATACATAAATATAATAATATACACAAATGATGCAGGCACCTGAATTCCAATCATCATTTTTCTATTCCTCTATAATTACTTCTTTGATCCTTTATCTTATCCATTAGAAAATCAGCCTAAAACCTCTTCCATATTTGGCTTTCTGTGAACATGAGATCATATGGAAAATATGAAAGCCCCCTGAACCCACCAGCACAGGCCCTGAAATAGGGAAAGTGCTCTGTTCATCACAAGAAACTTTCCCCCTCACCCAAATCCCCCACCTCACCCCTACTTCCAATCACCTGTGGAGATACAGATAGATCATGGGGAGGTAAACGCTAATACTCCTTGGAGTGAGTTCAGATCTTGGAATCAGAGATCAGCACCAGCACTAGCTCCTGCTCCCCTTTCCTACTAATTCACAGGAGGACAGGTGGTTTTGAAGCAATAGATGGTGGAGGGGGTGGTCTTTCCCCCAGCCTCTCAGGTGGAACAGCAGCCTAACATGTGTCTCGCGAGATCACAAAGAGTAGCACGTTTCACATGGGCTTCATCATTATTTCCTGGCTGTTTGACATAAGAGAATTCTACTTTGCTTTTTTGATCATGATTTCACTTTTGTGTCCTTTTCTTGGAGAATGTAATTTGAGTCAAGAGGGTTGTGGATGTAGAAACTGTAAAGCACATTCACTGTGTATCAATCCCAGTCCAGTCTTTCCAGAGAAGACTCTAAACACCTGCTGTACTGCACCTGGGCCTATGCCAATTTCTATCACTCACCGTCACTCCAGGGAGACAGAACACACAGAGAATACGTTACATAGGCAGGTTCATTACTAACAGATAAGCAGCGAGTGACAACAGAAGCCTACATTTCAACGTGAGCCAGTCCCTCAAGGCTCAGAAAAGCTGCTCGGGACATATGGAGTCACCTCATTTGCAGTGTATCTGGGGGAAGCCAGAAAATAGCCCAGCCTGGGTTTTGTACCCTGAAGCCACAGGAAGCACTCAGCTAAAGCACTGCATGACGTCCTCCTCCAGGAAGAACAGGAAGACAGCACAGGCTGTTCTGAGACGTTCCTCCTGATCTCAGGACGTTGCTGTCTTAGTCCATTTTTGTTGCTATAAAAGAACACTTGAGCCTGGGTTACTTCTTTTTTTTTTTTTTTTTTTTTGTATAGTGCTTCTGATGAGCTTTTTTTTAAAATTTTTATTATTATTATACTTTAAGTTTTAGGGTACATGTGCACAATGTGCAGGTTAGTTACATATGTATACATGTGCCATGCTGGTGTGCTGCACCCATCAACTCGTCATTTAGCATTAGGTATATCTCCTAATGCTATCCCTCCCCCCTCCCCCCACCCCACAACAGTCCCCAGAGTGTGATGTTCCCCTTCCTGTGTCCATGTGTTCTCATTGTTCAATTCCCACCTATAAGTGAGAACATGCGGTGTTTGGATTTTTGTCCTTGTGATAGTCTACTGAGAATGATGATTTCCAATTTCATCCATGTCCCTGCAAAGGACATGAACTCATCATTTTTTATGGCTGCATAGTATTCCATGGTGTATATGTGCCACATTTTCTTCATCCAGTCTATCATTGTTGGACATTTGGGTTGGTTCCAAGTCTTTGCTATTGTGAATAGTGCCACAATAAACATACGTGTCCATGTGTCTTTATAGCAGCATGATTTATAGTCCTTTGGGTTTATACCCAGTAATGGGATGGCTGGGTCAAATGGTATTTCAAGCTCTAGATCCCTGAGGAATCGCCACACTGACTTCCACAATGGTTGAACTAGTTTACAGTCCCACCAACAGTGTAAAAGTGTTCCTATTTCTCCACATCCTCTCCAGCACCTGTTGTTTCCCGACTTTTTAATGATCGCCATTCTAACTGGTGTGAGATGGTATCTCATTGTGGTTTTGATTTGCATTTCTCTGATGGCCAGTCATGGTGAGCATTTTTTCATGTGTTTTTTGGCTGCATAAATGTCTTCTTTTGAGAAGTGTCTGTTCATGTCCTTTGCCCACTTTTTGATAGGATTGTTTGTTTTTTTCTTGTAAATTTGTTTGAGTTCATTGTAGATTCTGGATATTAGCCCTTTGTCAGATGAGTAGGTTGCGAAAATTTTCTCCCATTTTGTAGGTTGTCTGTTCACTCTGATGGTAGTTTCTTTTGCTGTGCAGAAGCTCTTTAGTTTAATTAGATCCCGTTTGTCAATTTTGGCTTTTGTTGCCGTTGCTTTTGGTGTTTTAGACATGAAGTCCTTGTCCATGCCTATGTCCTGAATGGTAATGCCTAGGTTTTCTTCTAGGGTTTTTATGGTTTTAGGTCTAACGTTTAAGTCTTTAATCCATCTCAAATTAATTTTTGTATAAGGTGTAAGGAAGGGATCCAGTTTCAGCTTTCTACCTATGGCTAGCCAGTTTTCCCAGCACCATTTATTAAATAGGGAATCCTTTCCCCATTGCTTGTTTTTCTCAGGTTTGTCAAAGATCACATAGTTGTAGATATGTGGCATTATTTCTGAGGGCTCTATTCTGTTCCATTGATCTATATCTCTGTTTTGGTACCAGTACCATGCTGTTTTGGTTACTGTAGCCTTGTAGTATAGTTTGAAGTCAGGCAGCATGATGCCTCCAGCTTTGTTCTTTTGGCTTAGGATTGACTTGGCAATGCAGGCTCTTTTTTGATTCCATATGAACTTTAAGGTAGTTTTTTCCAATTCTGTGAAGAAAGTCATTGGTAGCTTGATGGGGATGGCATTGAATCTATAAATTACCTTGGGCAGTATGGCCATTTTCACGATCTTGATTCTTCCTACCCATGAGCATGGAATGTTCTTCCATTTGTTTGTATCCTCTTTTATTTCATTGAGCAGTGGTTTGTAGTTCTCCTTGAAGAGGTCCTTCATATCCCTTGTAAGTTGGATTCCTAGGTATTTTATTCTCTTTGAAGCAATTGTGAATGGGAGTTCACTCATGATTTGGCTCTCTGTTTGTCTGTTATTGGTGTATAAGAATGCTTGTGATTTTTGTACATTGATTCTGTATCCTGAGACTTTGTAGAAGCTGCTTATCAGCTTAAGGAGATTTTGGGCTGAGACAATGGGGTTTTCTATATATACAATCATGTCATCTGCAAACAGGGACAATTTGACTTCCTCTTTTCCTAATTGAATACCCTTTATTTCCTTCTCCTGCCTAATTGCCCTGGCCAGAACTTCCAACACTATGTTGAATAGGAGTGGTGAAAGAGGGCATCCCTGTCTTGTGCCAGTTTTCAAAGGGAATGCTTCCAGTTTTTGCCCATTCAGTATGATACTGGCTGTGGGTTTGTTATAGATGGCTCTTATTATTTTGAGATACGTCCCATCAATGCCTAATTTATTGAGAGTTTTTAGCATGAAGCGTTGTTGAATTTTGTCAAAGGCCTTTTCTGCATCTATTGAGATAGTCGTCCGGTTTTTGTCTTTGGTTCTGTTTATATGATGGATTACATTTATTGATTTGCATATATTGAACCAGCCTTGCATCCCAGAGCCTGGGCAACTTCTAGAGAAAACAGATTTGTTTGCCTCACAGTTCTGCAGGCTGTACTGGAAGCATGGCACCAGCATCTGTTTCCTGTGACGGCCTCAGGCTGCTCCCACTCTGGCAGAAGGGAAGGAGGGTCTGTCTGTGCAGAGACCACAGAGATCACATGGCAAGAGAGGGAGCAAGGGGGAGGGCGAGCGATGGAGCTTCCAAGCTCTTTTTAACAACCAGCCCTCCGGGAACTAATAGAGGGGGAACTTGCTAACCCCATCATGTGGGGCAGCATTAATCTATTCATGATGGATCCACCTCCATGACTCAAACACCTTCCCATAGGCCCAAACTTCCACACTGGGGGTTAAATTTCAATATTTCAGTGTGAGGTTTCAAAGGGTCAAACATCTAAACTAAAGCAGCTGTATCCTCAGCATGTTCTATGGTTTCTATGAGAGCTGTAACTGAGAAAGCAGGAGAAAGCTGGGTCTCCCGCCATCAGGCTGCTTGTCCTAAGGAGATGTTCCATGTGGTTACCTGTCAATCAAGAAATGAGACAATCCATAAAGAGGAACTGCTATGATTAGCTTCTTATTGGATTCCCATCTTCCTCCAGGTATCTGCAGACACCTGCATGTTCTGATTGGGACCTCAGTGGTCATCTTCCTCTTCATCCTCCTCCTCTTCTTTCTCCTTTATCGCTGGTGCTCCAACAAAAAGAGTAAGTCTCACGAAGCAGAGGCCAGAGAGCTCAGGGCCATGTGGGGAAGCAGGATGGGAGCACGCGGGTGTGTGTTCCTCACTGGCAGGATGGTCCCTGGCCCAAGGGAGGAGCCACAGAGGCAGGGCTTTCTAGAGAGAGCACCAGACAACCTGCCCCTGCCTTCAGCTCACAGACCATTGCCTGGTTCTGAACTGTATCCTCACATCCCCTGCAGCCACTGACATCCAGAAGCTTCCATGACAGGCAGAAAGTGGGAGACAGAATCAATGGGATGCCAATTGAGAGCACTTCATGGGATGGGGTCTTGAACTCAGAGAGATAGAATGTCTGAGTCTGGATGTTGGCAGCTGAAGAGCCTCAGGCACCTACAGCCTCCCCCTGTGGGTTGGTGTCTGCCCATGAAATGAGGACCCAGAAGGGCCCTCCAAGCGGTTTTGATGACTTCCGTCTCCTACAGATGCTGCTGTAATGGACCAAGAGCCTGCGGGGGACAGAACAGTGAATAGGCAGGTAGGTCCTCCTCGGCCCAGCCTCACGGATACAGTCTTATCCCTAATAGTCCTGAAAAATGTGAGCACCCTCCCTCACTCAGCATTTCCCTCTCTCCAGGACTCTGATGAACAAGACCCTCAGGAGGTGACGTACGCACAGTTGGATCACTGCGTTTTCATACAGAGAAAAATCAGTCGCCCTTCTCAGAGGCCCAAGACACCCCTAACAGATACCAGCGTGTACACGGAACTTCCAAATGCTGAGCCCAGATCCAAAGTTGTCTCCTGCCCACGAGCACCACAGTCAGGTCTTGAGGGGGTTTTCTAGGGAGACAACAGCCCTGTCTCAAAACCAGGTTGCCAGATCCAATGAACCAGCAGCTGGAATCTGAAGGCATCAGTCTGCATCTTAGGGGATCGCTCTTCCTCACACCACGAATCTGAACATGCCTCTCTCTTGCTTACAAATGCCTAAGGTCGCCACTGCCTGCTGCAGAGAAAACACACTCCTTTGCTTAGCCCACAAGTATCTATTTCACTTGACCCCTGCCCACCTCTCCAACCTAACTGGCTTACTTCCTAGTCCTACTTGAGGCTGCAATCACACTGAGGAACTCACAATTCCAAACATACAAGAGGCTCCCTCTTAACACGGCACTTACACACTTGCTGTTCCACCTTCCCTCATGCTGTTCCACCTCCCCTCAGACTATCTTTCAGCCTTCTGTCATCAGTAAAATTTATAAATTTTTTTTATAACTTCAGTGTAGCTCTCTCCTCTTCAAATAAACATGTCTGCCCTCATGGTTTCGATAATGTGACTCTTTATTCGCCAAAAGTTTCCAGTGTTATCATTACTATGTCCATATAACCTGATATGTTCTCTACTGGGTTCTCAGCCCTGGACTCTGAGCTTCTGGAAGCAGGGTGGAGCCTCATTTGTCTCTGGGACTCCAATTTCCATCCAAAGATGCAGCACATAGGAGGTTCCAAGGATCGTGAATCACATGAACAAGTGATATTCTTACTCTCTGCAGACCTGGAAAGCTGGCAGAGTCATTCCAAGATGAAACATTTGTAGAGTCATAGGCCTTGTTAGTCTCATCTCCACAGGGACACATGTCAACACATCATCTTTCATACTATAAATATACAGTCGCTCCTCCATATCTGTGGGGTTTACAGGTGTTTATTGAACCAAATATAAATCAAAAATATTCAGAGAAAAAATCCACAAAGTTCCAAAAAGCAAAAATACTATATTGTGTGGACACAAGTGAGGTGGTGTGTAGGCTGTATCAGGAATTATAAGTAATCTAGAGATGATTTCATGTATACAGGAGGATGTGCATGGGTTATATGCAAACGCTGTGCCATTTCATGCAACAGGCTTGAGCATCTGCAGATTTTGGTGTCTGGTAGGGAGGGGGGTTTCCTGGAACCAATCACCCATGAATAGTGAAGGACAACTGTATATAATTTTCATTCATCAATTTTATAAATAAATCATCAAAATGTATGATAATAAGATAAAAAATTAGCAGTGTTTTTATGGTGTGAAAATAAGCTTAGATTTATTTTTTCCTGCTTGTAACCCTCTGGTCCAATGTTATTTACTGAGAAGACATTCTATTCCACCTTAATCCGCATGGCAGCCTCTGTCAACTATAAAAGGACTGTGTGTACACAGATGTATTTTACACACTCTTTTCTGCTCAGTGGCTCTCTGTGTCCACTCTCATGAGGATGCTGCACTTTATGTGGCCTTATAGAACCCCTTAAAATTTGGCAGCCTGAATCCTCTAATTTCTCCTTCCTCTTTAAGATTGCCATTATTATTATTATTGGCTATTTGCTTTTCCATGTAAATTTGTAATCATTTTTCTCATTTCCACCAAAAACAATGCTTGTAATTTTGTTGTGACTCCCTTACATCTACAGGTAAGTTCTGTCCTATAGAAACATAATGCAAACCACATGCATTCTTTCAAACTTGCTAGTATCCAAATTAAAAAGCTAACAAGAAACAGATAAAATTAATTTAAGTTAACCCAATGGACCCAAAATATTATTAACCCAACAGACCCAAAATATTAACCTAATAGATCCAAAATATTATTTTATTATACAAGTAGACTCAAAATATTATCATTTCAACATGTAATCATGTGTCATCTTGGAAAACATCAGATCCCTGTCTAGGTGGGCAAAGATTTTTCTTCGTAATATCTCATTTCCACATTTCCACTTGGCACAGAAACTGCCCCCAAGGCTCAGGATACTAAGATGCAGTAGGAATGGGTAGATGTATCTGGAGGAAAGTGACTGAATGAAATTGAGACATCAGAGTCTGGGAAACTCACTAGAACTACAGGGACAGTGTGGGGGAGGGAATTGGGAGATGTTGATCAAAGGATACAAACTATCAGGTATTCAGGAGGAATGGGTCTGAAGATCTCTTGTACAGCTTTGCCACTATGGTTGACAATACTGTACTCTATACTTGAAATTTACCAGGAAAGTAGATTTTTTTTTTTAAATATGGAACACTTCACGAATTTGCGTGTCATTCTTGCGCAGGGGCCATGCTAGTTTTCTCTGTATCGTTCCAATTTTAGTATATGTGCTGCCGAGGCAAGCATGGGAGAGTAGATTTTTTTTTTTTTTTTTTTTTTTTTTGAGCTGGAGTCTTGCTCTGTCACCCAGGCTGGAGTGCAGTGGCGCGATCTCGGCTCACCGCAAGCTCCGCCTCCTGGGTTCACGCCATTCTCCTGCCTCAGCCTCCCGAGTAGCTGGGACTACAGGCGCCCGCCACCACGCCCTGCTAATTTTTTGTATTTTTAGTAGAGACGGGGTTTCACTGTGTTAGCCAGGATGGTCTCGATCTCCTGACCTCGTGATCCGCCTGCCTCGGCCTCCCAAAGTACTGGGATTACAGGCATGAGCCACCACGCCCGGCTGGGAGAGTAGATCTTAAGGGTCCTCACCACAAAAAAAAAAAAAAGAAAGAAAGAAAAAGAAACCATAGGCCGGGCGCGGTGGCTCACGCCTGTAATCCCAGCACTTTGGGAGGCCAAGACGGGCAGATCACTTGAGGTCAGGAGTTCAAGACCAGCATGGCCAACATGGTGAAACCCTGTCTCTACTAAAAATGCAAACATTAGCCAGGCGTGGTGACACAAGCCTGTAATCCCAGCTACTCAGGAGGCTGAGGCACGAGAATTGCTGGAACCTGGGAGCGGAGGTTGCAGTGAGCCAAGATGGCACCACTGCACTCTAGCCTGGGGGACAGAGTAAGACTTCCTCTCAAAAAAAAAAAAAAAAAAAAAACAATAACCCTGCGAGATGATGGATATAACTAGCTTGACTATGATGATCATGTCACCATGTATACATACATCAAAACATCAAGTGTAATACACCTTAAATATATACAATTTCCATTTGTCAATCATATCTCAATAAAGCTAAAAGAAACCTCTAAGTTTCAACTTTATTTTCAGAAAGCTGTGCCATGCTTACCTCAGTGCCTAAGTATACTCTAATTCATGGAAATGGCCTTTAAAACTGCAGAGAGTGGCTGGGTGCAGTGGCTCACGCCTATAATCCCAGCACTTTGGGAGGCGGAGGTGGGCAGATCACGAGGTCAGGAGTTCGAGATCAGCCTGGCCAACATGGTGAAACTCTGTCTCTACTAAAAATACAAAAAATAGCTGGGCATGGTGGCAGGTGCCTGTAAATCTGAGATACTCAGGAGGCTGAGACAGGAGAATCGTTTGAACTGGGGAGGCAGAGGTTGCAGTGAGCCGAGATCCTGCCATTGCACTCCAGCCTGGGCGACAGGGTGAGACTCCATCTCAAAAAAAAAAAAAATACTGCAGAGAGTTAAGGCCCTCACTGGACACTCTCCGGTACCTCTGAGGTCAGTGGATAGAGAAGCAGCTCCCCTTCTTCTTCCTCGAAACAAAGGCCTCCTTCCTTCTTAGGTGTTTGAGACAAATTCTCCACACAGGTGCAGCTGAGTGCTGTAAAGTCCCACTGAGAGTTGAAGGTCCCCACTGCCAGTCACAGTTCGGTCCCACTGAGGGTTGAAGGTCCCCACTGCCAGTCACAGTTTGGTCCCATTGAGGGTTGAGAGTCTCCACTGCCAGTCACAGTTTGGTCCCATTGAGGGTTGAGAGTCTCCACTGCCAGTCAGTTTGGGCTTATTAGGGTTTATGCTGTGCACGGAGAATGGAACCTACCAATCAACTCTTAGTGACCAGTTAGACAGATTCAAGGCAAATTTCCCTGCTGGGAAATCCCAAATCCCAAAATATGCAGAGACCAATAGATGCCTCAATTCTTCCGTGTCTCCGTCTAAATCCTTGGGTCACTGTGACTCCTGTAGTTATGTGGCTTGTAATTCCTTGGGCCGTAGAATGGCTATGATAGGCCCTGTGCTAAGGGGACTGGTGACAGTTGAGACAGGAACATGGAAGCTATAGTAGTCAGGGTTCTCCAGAAAAAAAAATAATCAACACTAATAATGATAGATATATAGATAATGATTGATAGACAAATAATGATAGATATATAATGATATCACAAATAATGATAGACATATAGTTGGATAATGACAGATATATAATGATTGATACACAGATAGGGTATTTATATATTGGCTTATGCAACTATGTAGACTGACAGGTCCCATGATCTGCCATCTGCAAGCTGGAGACCCAGGGGAGTCCACGTGTAGTTCCAGTCTACGTGCAAAAGTCTGAGAACCAGTAGAGTTAGTGGTATACGTAACAGTCCAAAAGCTAGCAGGCTCATGCCGGGCATGATGGCTCACGCCTGTAATCCCAACACTTTGGGAGACCAAGGCAGGCAGATCACCTGAGGTCAGAGTTCAAGACCAGCCCGGCCAACATGGTGAAACCCCATCTTTACTAAAAATACAAAAATTAGCCGGGCATAGTGGCATTCGCTTGTAATCCCAGCTACTCAGAGGCTGAGGTACGAGAATTGCTTGAACCCAAGAGGTGAAGGTTGCAGTGAGCCGAGATCATGCCACAGCACTCCAGCCTGGGTGACAGAGTGAGACTCTATCTCAAAAAAACAAACAAACAAAAAAAGCTGGCAGGCTTAACATCTAAAGAGTCAATGTTTTAGTGAGAGTTCAAGAGCCAGAAAAGACTGATGTCCAGGCAAAAGGAACTTCATCTTACATTACCAGTTCAATGTTTTGTTCTATTCAGGTCCCACCTGATTGAATGAGGCCGACTCACATTAGGGAGAGCAATCTGCTTTATAAATTACACTAATTCCATTGATAATCTCATTCAGCAACACCCCCACAGACACACACAGAATAATGTTTAACCAAATATCTCAGCACCCCATGGCTACGTTACCATTCCTGTTCCACAAAAGGAGGAAACAAAAGAACAAAACCACACCAAATGTTGTGGTAAGTTGACAAAATCTGTTCCAGCCCATTAGTAAATATTGGCCACTGAAGTTCCTGAAATTCAACAATTAGTAAGTATCTCTCTCCCAATAGAAAGCCACGTCATTTGTAAACCATAACAATAGCTTTTGTTTTTTTGAGACACAGTCTCGCTCTGTGTTGCCCAGGCTGGAGTGCAGTGATCTTGGCTCACTGCAACCTCTGCCTCCTGGGTTCAAGTGGCTCTCCTGCCTCAGCCTTCCGAGTAGCTGGAATTACAGGCACCCGCCACCACACCCAAGTAATTTTTTATATTTTTAGTAGAGACTGGGTTTCACCACATTGACCAGGCTGGTCTTAAATTCCTGAACTCAAGTGATTCACCTGCCTTGGCCTCCCAAAGTGCTGGGATTACAGGCATGAGCTACTGCACCCAGCCAACAATAGTATTTTTAATTAGGTCATCCTGCCTTTACAATCTCTGCATTTTAAATACTCAACTAAGAGTACAGCCATTATTTGTCTTTCACCCAAAGTCCCATTCAAGTGAGAACAAAGGAATGAATAAATAAGGCATAAGTAACAAAACAACAAAAAAAGAAAATTAGAATGCGGTCAATTTCATGCAATCATCAACACCAAATTTCCAGAACGTAGTATTTCCAAATTTCCCGAACGTAAATATGTATGTGGAAATTAACAAAATGTGGCAAAACAAAAGGTCACTTAAATTTGCACAAATGAAACAGTCAACATGGAAGCTGATCGGCTTTCTGAAATATGGGACAAGCTCAGGACTTCAAAATACTTCGGCGTTGGAAGGGCTAAGTTATGATGTATTAAAATGAAAATAAAGTGGGGCGCGGTGGCTCACGCCTGTAATCCCAGCACTTTGGGGGACCGAAGTGGGTGGATCACGAGGTCAGGAGATCGAGACCATCCTGGCTAACACGGTGAAACCCCGTTTCTACTGAAAATACAAAAAAAATTAGCCGGGCGTGGTGGCGGATGCCTGTAGTCCCAGCTACTCGGGAGGCTGAGGCAGGAGAATAGCATGAACCCAGGAAGTGGAGCTTGCAGTGAGCTGAGATCACGCCACTGCACTCCAGCCTGGGCGACAGAGCAAGACTCCGTCTCAAAAAAAAAAAAAGAATAAATAAAATAAAATAAAATAGTAGAAGGTTTAATTAGGAATATTTCACTCTCCATACCTGAAGAATTCGTGATAGCCAGGAGTCTACAATCAAAATAACATAAATAATAAGATAAAAATAAAATTAATTTGAAGCCATAAAAAAAGAATGAGTTCATATGTTTTGTGGAAACATGGATGGAGCTGGAGGCCATTATCCTTAGCAAACTATACAAGAACAGAACACCAAATACAGCAGGTTCTCACTTATAAGTGGAAGCTAAATAATAGAACTCATGAACACAAAAAAGGGAAAAACAGACAATGGGGTCTCCTTTAGGGTGGAGGGTGGGAGGCGGGAAAGGAGCAGGCAAAGTAACTATTAGGTACCAAGCTTATTACCTAGGTGATGAAATAATCTGTACAACAAACCCCCATGACACAAGTTTACCTGTATAACAAACCTTCCCATGTACCCTTGAACCTAAAATAAAAGTTAAAAAAATACTCAATGAGCAACAATGTACATTATTTGAGGATAATTATATTAAAAGCCCAGACTTCACCACTACACAAAATATCCACGTAATAAAATTTCACTTGCGCTCCTTAAATTTATACAAATAAACAAAAAAGTATAATAAAATAGTAGATTCTTTCTTTAGAGATGACAAATAGTGCCAGAGAAAATGCCTCCACACTCTGGCATTGAGATCATCTCCAGGATAAGGGTATACTGCATGCCTGGTCAAGTCCAAGTAAATATACTCAGACCATGAATCTCAGAGATGAAACATAGGTTCAGAACAGACAAAGCCACAGAGCTTTTGACTAATGGCCCAGTGAAGGCAATGTCTGCCTGTATGGTATCCACCACCTTATATTCTGTCCCAAGCCCGTCTATTTGGATGTAGCATCTGGTTCAAAGATGAATTTGAACACCATTAGACACTGGCTTAATGAAAATTCACTTCTCATTCGTTTCTCATCTGAAACATAAATAGAAATATAGGTCTTAGGCAGGAGGATTTCTTGATGCCAGAAGTTAGAGACTACCCTGGCCAACATAGAAAGACCCCATCTCTATTTAAAAAAATATACATATATATGTCTTCTCTTGGGCTCCACCCAAGAGCAACCTGGAACTAAGTTATTCGGCAACGAACTGTTCCACTTTGTTGTGAGGCAATAGATGTGGAAATTCCCTGACGAGGGGCTCTGTCCTCATACTTCCTGCGGAGCTTATTGTCGTAAGAATATCTGTCATCCTGCTAATGTGCATTGAAAGGAGAGCAACGGGGCTGAGGCCGTGTCAGCACGATGGACCCCAAACAGACCACCCTCCTGTGTCTTGGTGAGTTTCAGAGTAAAAGTGGGTTAGAGGGGAAGATAGAGAAATCCCAAAATAATCAGGGTGTCTCTTAACAGTGTGACTAGGAGATTTTAGTGGCTGCCAAGGAGATTCTGATCTCCTTAGTGGAAAGGCCGTCTTTGTCAATGTATCTATAACTTTGTCTCTACCCAAGCCCAAGCTAGCTTGTGGGGCTCAAGGTTTAATATTTGTATTAAACCTATAGTGTGTTATCTGGGATTCATGATGGTCCCAAGGTTCTTATCAAGGAGAGACTTAGAGGCTGGAATCTGAAAGGTAAAAATAAAGAATGAACCTCAAAACTGTGATTGTTGTGGAAGGAAAACATATGATAGAACCCCATATAGAAATATGGTTACTAGTATTTTGTTGAAGATTTTTGCATTTATGTTCAACAAAGATATTATCCAGAAGTTTTCTGTTTTTGTTGTATCTCTGCCACATTTTGTTATCAGGATAATGTTGGCCTCATAGAATGAGTTGGGGAGGAGTCCCTCCTCCAGGATTTTTTTCAATAGTTTCAGTAGGAATAATACTAGCTCTTCTTGGCCGGGCGCAGTGGCTCACACCTGCAATCCCAGCACTTTGGGAGGCCAAGGCAGGCGGATCACAAGGTCAGGAGATCAAAACCATCCTGGCCAACATGGTGAAACCCTGTCTCTACTAAAAATACAAAAAAATTAGCCAGGCGTGGTGGCGGGCGCCTGTAGTCCCAGCTACTCGTGCGGCTGAGGCAGGAGAATGGCATGAACCTGGGAGGCAGAGCTTGCAGTGAGCCAAGATCATGCCACTGCACTCCAGCTTGGGCGACACAGCGAGACTCTGTCTCAAAAAAAAAAAAAAATGCCAGCTCTTCTTTATATATCTGGTGGGATTGAGCTGTGAATCCATCTGGTACTGGTCTTTTTCTGGTCTGTCATTACAGAGGGTGATTTGTCGTAAAGGTTGGAAATGGAAGCTTGATTTTTCATAAATCTCTCTCTTCCAGTGCTCTGTCTGGGCCAGAGGATTCAGGCACAGGAAGGTAAGTGTCCTGTAAATCTCTCCCAGCCCCTTTAGACCCTCTTGGGAGCTCTAGGATAAAGAAATTGAAGAATAGCCTGAAGCACCATTCTTATTTTAATCCCCATTCTAGTTGTTTCTGCTGTGCTTCTCTTGCATAATTTCTATCTCACTTTGTTATCTCCAAACCCTTCAGACTCATTAATGCTCAGGCCTGGATTTATAGTTAGTCCTTGCCTGTGTTAGACTGTCCATGAAGGATCTGTAATTTACTGAATGCTCAAACTGCAAGAATGAGGAAGTCAGGAGTCATCTGCCCAATATCCTTCCTTATGCTGATTCTATTTTGTTTTAGCAACCCACTTCCTCCCGTCACTTCATTTAAAAGGATGCTGCCATAGTCTAACCCTACTGAACACTCTAGCATTCTGTAGTACTACTGCAGTACTAAGCATGAGGCAGTCTTAGTGTACTACTGAATATTCTGCCACCCCAACTACTACTGCCTTAGCCTCCTAATGGGTGTGAGCCCCACGTCCATCCATGTCTTCTCTCTTCCAGCTCCTTCTAAAGCCTGAATTATTTGTGTGTTGAACAATACTCATTCTTCCTATCCATGAGCATGGAATGTTTTTCCATTTGTTTGTGTCATCTATGATTTCTTTGACCAGTGTTTTGTAGTTCTCCTTGCAGAGATCTTTCACCTCCCTGGTTAGCTGTATTCCCAGGTATTTTATTCTTTTTGCAGTAATTGTGAATGGATTCTATTCTTGATTTGGCTCTCAGCTTAGATGTTTTTGGTGTATAGGAATGCTACTGATTTTTATATATTGATTTTGTATCCTGGAACTTTGCTAAAGTTGTTTATCAGATTAAGAAGTGTTTGGGCAGAGACTGTGGTTTTCTAGGTATAGAATCATATCACCTGCAAACAGGGATAGTTTGACTTCCTTTCTTCCTATTTGGATGCCTTTTATTTCTCTCTTGCCTGATTGCTCTAGCTAGGACCTCCAGTACTATGTTGAACAGAAGTAGTGAGAGACGGCATCCATGTCTTTTGCCAGTTTTCAAGGGGAATACTTCCAGCTTTTGCCCATTCAATATGATGTTGACTGTGAGTTTGTCATACATCATTCTTATTATTTTGAAATATGTTTCTTCAATGCCTAGTTTGTCGAGGTTTTTTAGCATAAAGGGATGTTGAATTTTATCAAAAGCTCTATTGAGAGGATTATGTGTGTGGGGAGGGTTGTTCTATTTATGTGATGAATCATATTTAAGATTTGTGTATATTGGCCGGGCACTGTGGCTCATGCCTGTAATCCCAGCACTTTGGGAAGCCAAGGCTTGTGGATCATGAGGTCAGGAGATCGACACCATCCTGGCTAACACGGTGAAACCTCGTCTATACTAAAAAACACAAAAAAATTAGCCAGGCGTGGTGGTGGGCACCTGTAGTCCCAGCTGCTCGGGAGGCTCAGGCAGGAGAATGGCGTGAATCCAGGAGGCGGAGCTTGCAGTGAGCCAAGTTCACGCCACTACACTCCAGCCTGGGCAACAGAGCGAGACTCCTATATCGAATCAACCTTGCATCCCAGAAATAAAGCCTACCTGATGGTGGTGGATTAGCTTTCTGATGTGCTGCTGGATAGTTTGCTAGTATTTTGTTGAGGATTTTTGCATTTATGTTCAACAAGGATATTGTCCTGAAGTTTTCTGGTTTTGTTGTGTCTCTGCCATGTTTTTGCATCAAGATGATGCTGGTCTCATAGAATGAGCTGGGGAGGCATTCCTCCTCCTGAATATTTTTGGAACGTTTCAGTAGGTATAGTACCAGCTCTTCTTTATATATCAGATGGGATTCAGCTGTGAGTCTGTCTGGTACTGGGCTTTTTCTGGTCTGTAGGATTTTTATTACTGATTCAATTTTGGAGCTCATTATTGGTCTGTTCATGTATTCAATTTATTCTTGGTTTGATCTCAGGAGGGTGTATGTGTCCAGGAATTTCTCCATTTATTCTGGATTTTCTAGTTTGTGTGCATAGAGGTGTTCATAATATTCTCTGATGATTGTATTTCTGTGGGGTGAGTGGTAATATACCCTTTGTTGTTTCTAATTGTGTTTATCCGGATCATCTCTCTTTTCTTCTTTATTAGTCTAACTAGTCATCTGTCTTACTAATTTTTTCAAAAATTCTACTCCTCGATTTGCTGATCTTCTGAATGCTTTTTCGTGTCTCAATCTCCTTCAGCTCAGCTCTGATTTTGGTTATTTCTTGTTTCCTATGAGCTTTGGGGTTGATTTCCTCTTGGTTCTCTTAGTTCCTCTTGTTATGATGTTAGGTTGTTAATTTGAACTTTTTCTAGCTTTTTGAAGTGGGAGTTTAGTGCTATAAACTTCCCCCTTAACACTGCCTTAGCTGTGTCCCAGAGATTCTGCTATATTTACCCAAAAATTCCAGAACAGACTGCTTAATTTCCATGCATTGTACAGTTTTGAGTGGTTTTCTTAGTATTTATTCCTATTTTTATTCCACTGTGCTCTGATTTCGCTTTTCTGGATTTGCTAAGGATTGTTTTTTTTTTTTTTGAAATGGAGTCTTGCTCTGTCGCCCAGGCTGGAGTGCAGTGGCGCAATCTAGGCTCACTGCAAGCTCCGCCTCCCAGGTTCACACCATTCTCCTGCCTCAGCCTCCTGAGTAGCTGAGACTACAGGTGCCCGCCACCCCGCCCGGCTAATTTTTTTTGTATTTTTAGTAAAGACGGGGTTTCACTGCGTTAGCCAGGATGGTCTCGATCTCCTGACCTCATGATCCGCCAGCCTTGGCTTCCCAAAGTGCTGGGATTACAGGTGTGAGCCACCGTGCCCAGCCTGCTAAGGATTGCTGTATGTCTGATTGTATGATTGACTTTAGAGTATGTGCCATGAGGCAATGAAAACAATGTAGATTCTGTTGTTTTGGGGGTGGAGAGTTCTGTAGATGTCTGTCAGGTCCATTTGATCCACTGCTGAGTTCAGGTCCTGAATATCTCTGTTTGCCTCAATGATCTAATACTGTCGGCGGGATGTTAAAGTCTCCCCCTATTATTGTGTGGTTGTCTAAGTCTCTTCGTTGGTCTCTCAGAACACGCTTTATGAATCCGGGTGCTTCCATGTTAGGTGCATATATATTTAGGATAGTTAGGTCTTCATGCTCTTTTTTTAATTTTTTTTTTCTTTTTCTTTTTGATTCAGCAGTTGGGCTATTACACACTCCTTAGCAGATTCCGACTTCCGTGGCCACTGTCCTGCTATGGTCTTCATGTTGAATTGAACCCTTTACCATGATTTAATGCCCTTCTTTGCCTTTTTTGATCTTTGTTGGTATAAAGTCTGTTTTGTCTGAAATTTTAATAGCAGCTCCTGCATTTTTTTTTTTTTTTGGCTTTCCATTTGCTTGGTAGATTTTTCTCCATTTCTTTACTTTGAGCCTATGGATGTCATTGCATATGAGATGGGTTTCTTATAGGCAGCATAATGTTGAGTCTTGCTTTTTTTTTTTTTTTTTTTTTTGAGATGGAGTCTCACTCTGTCACCCAGGCTGGAGTGCAGTGGTATGATCTTGACTCACTGCAACTTCTGCCTCCCAGGTTCAAATGATTCTCCTGCCTCAGCCTCCCAAATAGCTGGGATTACAGGTGTGTACCACCACGCCCAGCTATTTTTTTTTTTTATTAGAGATGGGATTTCATCACATTGGCCAGGCTAATGTCGAACTCCTGACCTCAAATGATCCACCCACCTCAGCCTCCCAAAGTGCCAGGGTTACAGGCGTGAGCCACTGCACCTGGCCTCTTGCTTCTTTATCCAACTTGCCACTCTCTGCATTTTAATTAGGACAATTAGTCCATTTACATTCAAAGTTAGCATTTACATGTGCAGATTTTTTCCTGTCATCATGTTGTTAGCTGGTTTGGTTATTATGCAGACTTGTTTGTGTGGTTGTTTTATAGTGTCACTGGTTTATGTACGTAAGTGTGTTTTCTATTGGCTGGTGATGGTCTTTTCTTTCCATATTTAGCGTTCCTCTTAGGACCTCTTGTAAGGCAGGCCTGATGGTAATAAATTCCCTCAGCATTTGCTTGTCTGTAAAGGATCTTATTTCTCCTTCACTTATGAAACTTAGTTTGGCTGGGAATGAGATTCTTGGTTGGAAATTCTTTTCATAAGAACATTAAATATAGGCCCCCAATCTCTTCTGGATTGTAGAGTTTCTGCTGAAAGGTCTGCTGTTAGCTCGATGGCATTCCCTTTGTAGGTGACCTGCCCCTTCTTTTTTGCTGCCTTTTCACATTTTTTTTTTTTTTTTTGAGACTGAGTCTTGCTCTGTTGCCCAGGCTGCCAGGCTGGAGTGCAATGGCGTGATCTCGGCTCACTGCAAGCTCCGCCTCCCGGATTCACGCCATTCTCCTGCCTCAGCCTCCCCAGTAGCTGGGACTACAGGTGCCCACCACCACGCCCAGCTAATTTTTTATATTTTTTTAGTAGAGATGGGGTTTCACCATGTTAGCCAGGATGGTCTCAATCTCCTGACCTCGTGATCCGCCCGCCTTGGTCTCCCAAAGTGCTGGGATTACAGGCGTGAGCCACCGCGCCCGGCCGACATTTCTTTCTTTCATTTCTACCTTGAAGAATCTGATGATTTTGTGTCTTGGGGATGCTCTTCTTGTGTAGTATTTTGCAGGGGTTCTCTGTTTCCTGCATTTGATTCTTGGCCTCTCTAGTGACGTTGGGGAAGTTTTCATGAACAATACACTGAAATATGTTTTCCATGTTCCTTGCTTTCTCCCCATCTCTTTCGGGGATGCCAATGGGCTATTTGGTCTCTTTTCATGATCCCATATTTCTTAGAGGTTTTGTTCATTAATTTTTATTCTTTTTCTTCATTTTTGTCTGACTGAATTAGTTCAGAGAGCCAGTATTCATGCTCTGAGATTCTTTCCTTATTTTGCTTTATTTTGCCATTAATACTTGTGATCGCATTATGAAATCTCGTAGTGTGTTTTTCAGCTCCATCAGATCCGTTTGGTTCTTTCAAAATGACCATCTCATAGATTAGCCCCTCTGTCATTTTATTGTAATCTTTAGGTTCCTTGCATTGGGTTTCAACTTTCTCCTGAATCTTGATGACCTTAATTTCTATCCATATTCTGAATTCTATTTCTGTCATTTCAGCCAGGTAAAGAGCCCTTGCTGGGAAGCTTGTGTGGTAATTTGGAGGAAGGAAGACACTGTTGCTTTTTGAGTTGATGGAGTTCTTGCTCAGTTCTTTCTCATCCATGTGGGCTAATGTTCCTTTGAGTGTGCTGCAATTTGAATTTTTTTCTTTTTTCTTTTAACCGTGATGTAATTTGAGCACAGTCAGTAGACTTCTTTTCTGGATGGTTTCAGAGGGCTGGGGCTTCGCACAGGGTCTTTATTTATAGCTAAATTCTTGTCCTTGGTTTCACAGGGAGGTATATTAGCGAGCATTTTTGGTGTTGAAGTTTGGGCTGCAATCCGGTAAATGATGCTTCAGCACAACGGCCAGTAGGTCATTCCTCATGATTGCCGCTGTGCTCCCTCTCACGCTCTGAAAGTGCGGGCTCCTCTCCCACCCAAGTGCTGGCTGCAGATCTGGGCTCGGCACTCCCAGGCTGCACATCACAGCTCTGGGGTGAGCTCAGACTTTATGTTCCCTCCGTGGCTTGGGGGCAGCAGGGGAAGGGACCTTAGCAGCGGTTGTGGCAGACGGCCTTTCACTTGTCCCTTGGAACTCCACCCCAGAGAGATGTGGAGCCACTATCAGTGCGATGAGCCAAGAGTGAGGCGACTGCACTGTGGGTCCAAGCTAGGGGCCCTGCCTAGTGATGAGCAGGGGGGACAGGTGGGTCACAGGGGTGACAGACTGGCCTCTTCTCCTTAGGGCAGTTTGCCGGAGGTGTGGTTGAAGCACTCAGAGTCTTTGCTCCTTCCCCAGTCTGAGGGCAGCAAGGCCAGTACCACCGCAGTGGCAGCGGCAGAGTGACCTTCCGTTGCCTCTGGGAGCTCCGCCACAGAGAAACGCAGACTCACAGCTGCTGGGAACGCTCCGCCAGAGGGTGGGGCTGTTGTGCCGCGGAATCAAGCTGGGGCTTGTTGAAGAGCAGGGGGTTGAGGGCTCACAGGGAGAGGAGACTGAGCTCCTCTCCGTATGGCGACTGCGGTGTGCTGGAAGCATGAATGAAGGCCGGGCGCGGTGGACTCACGCCCGGAATCCCAGCACTTTGGGAGGCCGAGGCGGGCGGATCACGAGGTCGGGAGATCGAGACCATCCTGGCTAATCTGGTGAAACCCCGTCTCTACTGAAAACACAAAAAATGAGCCGGGCGTGGTGGCGGGCGCCTGTAGTCCCAGCTACTCGGGAGGAGGATGAGGCTGAGGCAGGAGAATGGTGTGAACCCGGGAGGCGCAGCTTGCAGTGAGCCGAGATCGGGCCACTGCACTGCAGCGTGGGCGACAGAGCGAGACTCCGTCTCAAATAAATAAATAAATAAATAAATAAATAAATAAATAAATAAATAAATAAATTGAAGCATGAATGAAGGCCCCAGGCTCCTTGCTTCTTCCCCAGATCACGGGCAGCAGAGGCAGAACCCTTGCCATGGCAGTGGCAGAGGGGCTGTCAGTTGCCTCTGGGAGCCACTCCCCAGGGAAACACGAGCCACCACCAGTGAGTGTGCTGAGGGCGGGGCAGCTGCTCTGCACTCCCGAGCTGGGGGCTCTGCCTGGTAAAGTGGGGGTGGGAGCTCACGGGGAAGAGAGACTGGACTCCTCTCTGTCTGATGGCTGTGGCATAATGACCGGGCCCCCACACATGAAAAAGAATTCTGGGAACTCAAAAAGCCAGTGTGTCCCCACCATGGACCCCTTGGATTGTGTTTCAAATTTCTCCTCAATTTCGAAGAGCGTCCTGGCCATCCAGATTCTGAATTCTATAACCCTCGTTTCATTCATCTCAATGTAGCTAAGAACCAGATTTCTGGGGAACTATCGAGTTGCCAGAGTTCTTGTGTTGATTCTTTTTTTTTTTTCTTTTTTTTTTCTTTTTTGTGGCAGAGTCTTACTCTGTCGCCCAGGCTGGAGTGCAGTGGCACGATCTCAGCTCACTGCTGCAACCTTCACCTCCCGGGTTCAAGCGATTCTCCTGTCTCAGCCTCCTGAGTAGCTGGGATTACAGGTGTGTGCCACCACGCCCGGCTAATTTTTGTATGTTTAGTAGAGCCCGGGTTTTGTCACGTTGGTCAGGCTGGTCTCAAACTCTTGACCTCCGGTGATCTGCCCACTTCAGCCTCCCAAAGTGCTGGGATTACAGGTGTGAGCCACCGCGCCCGGCCTTGGTGTTGATTCTTTCTCTTGTGTGAGGGCTGGTGTTCCTTTAACTGTGATGTCGGTTGAGTACAGTCGCTTGGCTTCATTTCTGGGTGTTTTCAGATGCCAGGACTCTGCACAGGATCTTTATTTGTGGCTGAATTTTTCCCTTCATTGTATACTGGCAAAATTTTTCAGTGTTGTATTTTGAAGTGTGATCCAGTAGGTGGCACTTAAAAGGGTTGGCCAGCATACAGGATCTTAGCCACAAGGCTCTTTTGTAGTTTTGTTTCGTTTTTTGTTTCGTTTTTTGACACAGGGTCTTGTTCTGTCGCCCAGGCTGGAGCACAGTGGCACAATCTCGGCTCACTGCAGCCTCTACCTATCAGGCTAAGTGATCCTCCTGCCTCAGCCTCCTGAGTAGCTGGGACTACAAGCACGCAGCACCATAAAGAGAAAATTTTTGTAATTTTTTTTTTTTTTTTGTAGAGATGGGGTTTCACCATGTTTACCAGGCTGGTCTCAAACTCCTGGGCTCAAGCAATCTGCCTGCCTTGGCCCCCTAACTCTTGTATTTTGACAAAGTCGGCAGTAGTGCTCTGTGGTTGTGAGGAGGGGTGACTCCCTCGCCTGGTCCATTCTTGGGCCTTGGAGGAGCCTCCTACAGTCACTGGCTCTGCACCCACTGTTTCCTTTGTTAGGATTGTTCTGCCCACGGGGCTCCCTCAGGCAGGGCATGGTGGGCAGACAGGCTGTATCCTTCCCCGGCCAGCCCTATGGAGGGAGGACCACCCCGCACCTCTGCAGGCTGATGAAATCAGGTGTTTCACCCCTCTGAACGTTCTGAGAATGAGGGCTCCTCACGGCTTGGTCGCCACCTAACGTGGTGAGTCCTTCTCAGCAAGGGTGATTGGAGCCACATGATCTGCCATCTCAGTGCTTCCCAGGGGAACACAGAGCTACTGGGCATGGTGGCTCACACGTGTAATCCCAGTACTTTAGGAGGCCGAGATGGGCAGATTGCGAAGTCAGGAGACTGAGACCATCCTGGATAACATGGTGAAACCCCGTCTCTACTAAAAATACAAAAAAAAATTAGCCAGGCGTGGTGGCGGGCGCCTGTAGTCCCAGCTACTCGGGAGGCTGAGGCAGAAGAATGGTGTGAACCCGGGAGGCGGAGCTTGCAGTGAGCCAAGATCACACCACTGCACTCCAGCCTGGGCAACAGAGTGAGACTTCATCTCAACAAAAAAAGAAAAGAAAAGAAAAACACAGAGCTGCACACCCCACAGAGTTCAGGCAGAAGGGGGTCTGCAGCGCTGGAAGACCCAGCAAGCCTGGCCCGTCTGGCTGCAAGTGGCAGGGGTGGGTGGAGTCACCCACTTCACCATCTGGGTGCTTTCCAGGGAAGCATGCAGCCACGACCCCGGGCAGAGTTCAGGCAGAAGCTGGGCCACTATGCTGGAAACTGGCCTTGAGCCTTGTGGAGTAACGGCAGGTGGAGCCATCTCACTGCTCCCACGCACCATGCCCGTGGCCTCTGCGGGGGCTGTGGTAACGGCACCCGACTGCTCTGGGGTCAATGCCTGCGGAGGTCCCCCTGGCTTCAGTGTTGCCTCTGCAAAAACCCCAGTTGCAGCCAGGTGCGGTGGCTCACGCTTGTAATCCCAGCACTTTGGGAGGCCGAGGCAGGTGGATCACTTGAAGTCAGGAGTTCAAGACCAGCCTGGCCAACATGGTGAAACCCCGTTTCTACTAAAAATACAAAAATTATCCAGGCATGGTGGTGGGCACCTGTAATCCCAGCTACTCGGAAGGCTGAGGCAGCAGAATTGCTTGAACCCGGGAGGCGGAGGAGCTGAGATTGCACCACTGCACTGCAGCCTGGGCGACAAAACAAGACTCTGTCTCGAAAAATAATAACAATAAAAAATAAAGATGGCAACCATAGACACTGGAGACTACTAGATGGGGGGGAAGAAAGGGGGTTGAAAAACTGCCTATTGGGTACTATGCTCAGTACCTGGGTGACAGGATCAATCGTACTCCAAACCTCAGCATCACAAATTATTTAAATTTTTCTCTTTTTTTAATTTTTTTGTTGTTGTTGTTGAGACGAAGTCTCACTCTGTTGCCCAGGCTGGAGTGCAGTGGTGTGATCTCGGCTCACTGCAAGCTCTGCCTCCCAGGTTCACGCCATTCTCCTGCCCCAATCTCCCGAGTAGCTGGGACTACACGCGCCCGCCACCACGTCCTGCTAATTTTTTGTATTTTCAGTAGACACGGGGTTTCACCGTGTTAGCCAGGATGGTCTTGATATCGTCACCTTGTGATCCACCCGCCTCGGCCTCCCAAAGTGCTGGGAATACAGGCGTGAGCTACCGCACCCGGCCTAAATTTTTTTTTAAATAAAGAATGGTAGGTTCTTCACACCCTAATGTATTTTTACTTCTCCCACAGAGAAGGAAAGGAATGGCTTCCCCATGGCAAGCCACCTCAGTCTGGGCTTTCTTTTCTTCCAGGGGACTTTCCCATGCCTTTCATATCTGCCAAATCGAGTCCTGTGATTCCCTTGGATGGATCTGTGAAAATCCAGTGCCAGGCCATTCGTGAAGCTTACCTGACCCAGCTGATGATCATAAAAAACTCCACGTACCGAGAGATAGGCAGAAGACTGAAGTTTTGGAATGAGACTGATCCTGAGTTCGTCATTGACCACATGGACGCAAACAAGGCAGGGCGCTATCAGTGCCAATATAGGATAGGGCACTACAGGTTCCGGTACAGTGACACCCTGGAGCTGGTAGTGACAGGTAAGGAAACATCCAGGGTCCACAGCCCTGGTGTGATTTTTTTCTTATTTTTAATAGAGTATTTTTCAAGAAGTTTTAGATTTACAAACAAAAAAAAATTGATGATTGCTTCAGAGAGTTCTCAGCCATCTGGCACCCCACTTCCCCCAGAGTTAACATCTTACATTAGTATGGCACATTTCTTACCATTAATGAACAAATATCGACACATTCCCAGCTACAGTCTACAGTTTATTTACATTTTCTTAGTTTTTACCTGATAGTCTTTCTCTGTTCCAGGATCCCATTCAAGATTTCACATTGCGGCTGGGAGTGGTGGCTCACGCCTGTAATCCCAACACTTAGGGAAGCCGAGGCGGGTGGATCACCCAAGGTCAGGAGTTCGAGACCAGCCTGGCCAACATGGTGAATTCCCCGTCTCTACTGAAAATGCAACAATCGCTGGGCGCGGTGGCTCACGCCTGTAATCCCAACACTTTGGGTGGCTGAGGTGGGTGGATCACCTGAGGTCAGGAGTTCGAGACCAGCCTGGCCAACACAGTGAAACCTCGTCTCTACTAAAAATGGAAAAAATTGGCCAGGCCTGGTGGCACACGCCTGTAATCCCAGCTACTTGGGAGGCTGAGGCAGGAGAATCGCTTGAACCCAGGAGGCAGAGGTTGCAGTGAGCCAAGATCACACCACTGCACTCCAGGCTGGGCGACAGGGCGAGACTCCATCTCACACACACACACACAAAAAGATTTCACATTGCATTCAGGTGTCATGTATCTTTATTTTTTTTTTTTTTTTTTTTTTTGAGATGGAGTCCCGCTGTGTTGCCCAGGCTGGAGTGCAGTGGCACAATCTCGGCTCACTGCAAGCTCCAACCTCCCGGGTTCACGCCATTCTCCTGCCTCAGCCTCCCGAGTAGCTGGGACTACAGGCGCCCGCCACCACGCCTGGCTAATTTTTTGTATTTTTAGTAGAGATAGGGTTTCACTGTGTTAGCCAGGATGGTCTCAATCTTCTGACCTCGTGATCCGCCCGCCTGGCCTCCCAAAGTGCTGGGATTACTGGCGTGAGCCACCACGCCCGGCCCCCGAAAATGCTGGGATTACAGGCATGAGCCACCGCACCTGGCCTCCCAAAGTGCTGGGATTCCAGGCGTGAGCCACCGTGCCCGGCAGGTGTCATGTATCTTTAGGTTTGTCTTGGCTGTCACAGCTTCTCAGATGTTGCTGGTTTTCCATGACCTTGTCAGTTTTGAGGGTAGTGGTCCATTATTTTCAAGGGTACTCCCACTACTGGAAATTGTCCGATGTTTTGCTCATGACTAGACTGAGTTATGGGTCATTGCAGGCAAGACCACAGAAGCAAAGTGCCATTTCATCTCCTCATAGCAAAGGTTTAAACTGTCCATGGGAACATGACTGTGGATGTTGAGCTGGCTGTTGTTGAAAGCCTGGCTGAAGTAGTAACTGTGGCCAGACACCGTGGCTCGTGCCTGTAATCCCAGCACTTTGGGAGGCTGGGCGCCGTGGCTCACGCCTGTAATCCCAGCACTTTGAGAAGCCGAGATGGGCAGATCACTTAAGCCCAGGAGACCAGCCTGGGCAACATAGTAAGACCCCATCTGTACAAAAAATCAAAAAATTAGCTGGGCATGGTGGCACCCACCTGTAGTCTCAGTTACTTGAGAGGCTGAGATGGTAGGATCACCTGAGCCTGGGAGGTCGAGGCTGCAGTGAGCCGTGATTATGCCACTGCCCTCAGCCTGGGCGACAGAGTGAGACCCTCTCTAAAATAAATAAATTCTAAAAAAGAAAAAAGAGGCTGGGCACTGTGGTTCACGCCTGTAATCCCAGCACTTTGGGAGGCTGAGGCAGGTGGATCACCTGAGGTCAGGGATTCAAGACCAGCCTGACCAACATGGAGAAACCTCATCTTTACTAAAAATACAAAAATTAGCTGGGCGTGGTGGCGGGTGCCTGTAATCCCAGCTACTCGGGAGGCTGAGGCAGGAGACTCACTTGAACCTCGGAGGTGGAGGTTGCAGTGAGCTGAGATCGTGCCACTGCACTGCAGCCTCAGTGACAGAGTGAGACTCCATCTCAAAAAACAATAATAGGCTGGGCACAGTTGCTCATGCCTGTAATCCCAGCACTTTGGGAGGCCAAGGTGGGCAAATCACCTGAGGTCAGGAGTTCGAGACCAGCCTGACCAACATGGAGAGACCCCGTCTCTACTAAAAATACAAAAATTAGCTGGGCGTGGTGGTACGCACCTGTAATCCCAGTTTCTCGGGAGGCTGAGGCAGGAGAATTGCTTGAACCCGGGAGACGGAGGTTGCAGTGAGCTGAGATCACGCCACTGCACTCCAGCTTGGGCAATAAGAGCGAAACTCCATCTCAAAAAAATATATAATAATAACAATAATAAGAAGAAGAAAAGAATAAAGGAGAAAAGGTCTTTCTAATAGCTCACTCTTTTCTCTCTTAGGCTTGTATGGCAAACCCTTCCTCTCTGCAGATCGGGGTCTGGTGTTGATGCCAGGAGAGAATATTTCCCTCACGTGCAGCTCAGCACACATCCCATTTGATAGATTTTCACTGGCCAAGGAGGGAGAACTTTCTCTGCCACAGCACCAAAGTGGGGAACACCCGGCCAACTTCTCTTTGGGTCCTGTGGACCTCAATGTCTCAGGGATCTACAGGTGCTACGGTTGGTACAACAGGAGCCCCTACCTGTGGTCCTTCCCCAGTAATGCCTTGGAGCTTGTGGTCACAGGTAGGTACCGCCCAGTCCAGCCCTGTGTCTGGGTTGGCTGTCCAGGGCCTTGCCACCGGGCAGGAATATGAAGACGTGCACTGAGAGTGAAGTGAAGAGAGGCAAAGGCTCTCACTCCAGGACAGTGGAGAGAGAAAGGCTTCCCCACCACACTTTCCGCTTTCACTTCCTCGCTAGAGTTCTCCAGACAGGGTTCATTGAAAACTTAGTCTGTGGAGAACAGAAGGGCTAACTCAGTTTGTTTCATTTTATTTATTTCATTTTATTTTCCGGGATAGAGTCTTGCTCTTTCGCCAAGGCTGGAGTGCAGTGGCACGATCTCGACTCACTGCAACCTTCGCCTCCCAGGTTCAAGCAATTCTCCTGCCTCAGCCTCCTGAGTAGCTGGGACCACACAGACAGGGTTTCACCATGTTGGCCAGGCTGGTCTCGAACTCCCGACCTCAGGTGATCCACCTGCCTCGGCCTCCCAAAGTGCTGGGATTACAGGCGTGAGCCACCGCGCCTGGCCAGGCTGCACACATTCTTATTAGGATTCCACCTTGTTCTGGTGTTGTAGAGATGTGATTAGGTATTTAGTGAATTCACCAAGTGAGGAGAGAATGAAAAGAAAACACAACCTGCCTGGCCGGGCGTGGTGGCGTGAGCCTGTCGTCCCAGCTACTCAGGAGGCTGAGGCAGGAGAATCACTTGAACCCAGGAGGCAGCTGTTGCAGTGAGCCAAGATCACGCCATTGCACTCCAGCCTGGGTGACAGAACGAGACTCCACCTCAAGAAAAAAAAAAAAAACATGGTTGGGCACGATGGCTCACGCCTGTAATCTGAGCACATTGGGAGGCTGAGGCAGGTGGATCACCTGAGGTCGGGAGTTCGAGACCAGCCTGGCCAACATAGTGAAACCCCATCTCCACTAAAAATACAAAAATTAACCAGGCGTGGTGGTGGTGGGCGCCTGTAATCCCAGCTACTTGGGAGGCTGAGGCAGGAGAATCACTTGACCAGGGAGGCGGAGGTTGCAGTGAGCCGAGATCACGCCACTGCACTCCAGCCTGGGCAACAGAGTGAGACTCCATCTCAAAAAAAAAAAAAAAAAAAAACACACACAACCTGCCCATAATCACCTCCTTCCCAGTTTATAGCACTTCCCTGGGAAGCACAGTTCCTTGCCCGTGAACACAGTCTTGCTGACTGATCAGTGTGGTGCTGGCGAAGCATGAGCTCATTGAGGGGATGCTTGAGGGAGTCCCATTTTGGCAAGCGAAAAGGAAAATGAGCTCCCGTTTCAGGGCTCTGGGGTTGGGATGGAATGGAACACAACCACCAACCATTCATCTCCTTGAATTGTGTCTCCAGACTCCATCCACCAAGATTACACGACGCAGAACTTGATCCGCATGGCCGTGGCAGGACTGGTCCTCGTGGCTCTCTTGGCCATACTGGTTGAAAATTGGCACAGCCATACGGCACTGAACAAGGAAGCCTCGGCAGATGTGGCTGAACCGAGCTGGAGCCAACAGATGTGTCAGCCAGGATTGACCTTTGCACGAACACCAAGTGTCTGCAAGTAAACACCTGGAGGTGAAGGCAGAGAGGAGCCAGGACTGTGGAGTCCGACAAAGCTACTTGAAGGACACAAGAGAGAAAAGCTCACTAAGAAGCTTGAATCTACTTTTTTTTTTTTTTGAGACAGAGTCTGGCTCTGTCACCCAGGCTGGAGTGCAGTGGAGCAATCTCGGCTCATTGAACCTCTTGGGTTCAAGTGATTCTTGTGCCTCAGCCTCCCAAGTAGCTGGAATTACAGGCACATACCACTGCACCCAGCTAATTTTTGTATTTTTAGTAGAGATGGGGTTTCACTGTGTTGGCCAGGCTGGTCTCGAACTCCTGACCTCAGGTGATCCACCCACCTTGGCCTCCCAAAGTGCTGAGATTATAGGCATGAGCCACCACGCCTGGCCAGATGCATGTTCAAACCAATCAAATGGTGTTTTCTTATGCAGGACTGATCGATTTGCACCCACCTTTCTGCACATAAGTTATGGTTTTCCATCTTATCTGTCTTCTGATTTTTTATATCCTGTTTAATTTCTTCCTTCATTGTTCTTCTCTTTTTTTATTTATTTTATTTATTTTTATTTTTATTTTTATTTGAGACAGAGTCTCACTCTGTTGCCCAGGCTGGAGTGCAGTGGCACGATCTCGGCTCACTGCAACCTCTGCCTCCTGGGTTCAAGTGATTCTCCTGCCTCGGCCTCCCAAGTAGCTGGGATTGCAGGCTCCCACCATCACGCCCAGCTACTTTTACAGTATTTTTAGTAGAGACGGGGTTTCATCACATTGGCCAAGCTGGTCTCAAACTTCTGACCTCGTGATCTGCCCGCCTCGGCCTCCCAAAGTGCTGGGATTACAGATGTGAGCCACTGCGCCCAGCCTTCTTTTTATATTTTTAAATGTGTCTTCCCCAAATATAAATGGTTGGTAAGCATGCCAAATATATTCAATAACCCCCCTCCTTTATTTTTTTTTGTTGAAGTGAGGCTCTCCCTATGTTGCCTAAGCTGGTCTTGAACTCCTGGTCTCAAGCAATCCTCCTACCTCAGCCTCCTGCTGTGTTCATCTACAAATTGATAAGAGTGAAAGTCATAATCCTACAGGAGGATTACCCTATTTATTTCACAAACCCTATTTCTACCGGATTTTCATACAAGGAATACAGGCATGTGTTTCACCTCATTAATTTATTTTTTCACTTAGTTTTGATGATATTCACATATATTATCAAGTGTGCAAACATTAAATTCTTGTGTACAAAACTCAAATGGTCTTCCAAATAATTCCCCATTCTTTTTTCTTATAAACTTTCACAGCTTTACCCTTGACAGACTTTACTCAAGGAAATCTAAGTTGGTCATATGTGGCTCTTTCACTGATTGCTATTTACTTCATTGTCCAGTAGCTTATGTATGAAAATATAATTATAAAATGTAAGGGTCCTACTTCCAGTGAAACTGAAGGGACTTAGGCCCACTTTTATCCTTTACTGAGAGCTTATCTCTACTTGATAAAATTTCTACTGTATTCTTGGCTTAACTCAGGTCCTGTGATTAAAAAAAAAATGCAAAGTATTTCTAACTTTCTTTATTGACTGCTTTTCACACTTTATACAAGTTCTGGCCCATATCTTCAGTTTGTTCTGATTTTTTTCACCAGGTGTGGTGGCAGGTGCCTGTAGTCCCAGCTACTCCAGGGGCTGAGGCAGGAGAATGGCGTGAACCTGGGAGGCGGGGCTTGCAATGAGCTGAGATCACGCCACTACACTCCAGCCTGGGCCACAGAGCGAGACTCCGTCTCAAAAGTAAACAAACAAATAAATAATAAATAAATAAATAAAGGGAAAGTGCCACAATTTTGGATGAAGGGGGTTGAGGGACTTTACGTCAGGTCCAGGACTTGGATTACAGAGACACAATGGGGCTAGATTCCCAGAGATGGATAAGATTAAACTCATATAAGTCGTTTTGCTGACAGAAGGACCTTGTTTGGAAAAAGCGTTTTCAGAATAATAAAGTTCCTGAGCTCTTCAGAAAAGTATTTTATTGTCCTGTAACCACAGTAACAAGTAGCCACCAAAACTGATTTTTAACCCATCATCAATGACAACTCATCTCTGTGAAGATGCTCTTTTTTTTTTTTTTTTTTTTTGAGACGGGGTCTTGCTCTGTCACCCAGGCTGGGGAGCAGTGACGTGACCTCGGCTCCCTGCAACCTCTCTTTCCCGGGTTCAGCAATTCTCCTGCCTCAGCCTCCCCAGTAGCTGGGATTATAGGCACCTGCCACCACACGCAGATAATTTTTGTATTTTTAGTACAGACGGGTTTCGCCATGTTGGCCAAGCTGGTCACAAACTTCTGACCTCAGGGTGATCTGCCTGCCTCAGCCTCTCAAAGTGCTGGGATTACAGGAGTGAGCCACAAAGCCCGGCCACTCCATACGTTTTATATTGTTATGTTACCATCAGTCAGGCAGCTCCTTGCTTCTAAAAGTCATCCAATCAGACTCATTTCAGTAAACACCCAAGCATGAGTGACAACCAATCAAAGTAATATCTTCCCAATGACCACACTTTTCCAGATGACGTCAAGCCACAGAAGGCCCTGAAAATCCAACAATCTCTGAAGTATACATTTCCCAGGCTGAGCGCAGTGGCTCACACCTGAAATCCCAGCACTTTGGGAGGCTAAGGCAGGCAGATCACGAGGCCAGGAGTTCGAGACCAGCCTGGCCAACATGGCAAAACCCCGTCTCTACTAAAAATACAAAAATTAGCCAGGTGTGGTGGCACGCACCTGCATTACCAGCTACTGAGGAGGCTGAGGCAGGAGAATGGCTTGAACCCAGGAGGCGGAGGTTGCAGTGAGCCAAGATCGTACCACCGCACTCCAGCCTTGGTGACAGAGCAAGACTCCATCTCAACAACAACAACAAAAATGGTTGAAATAAAACTTCTATGTGTTGAACGATTCCTCTTTTAGGCATAGAGTTTCAGTTTTACAAGATGAAAATATTCTGGAGATCTGTTTCAAAACACCGTGAATACATTTAACACTGCTATACTGTACACTTACAATGGCTAAGATGGTAAATTGTATGTTATGTTTTTACTACAATTTTTTTTTTTTTTTTTCTGAGACAGAGTCTCACTCTTGTTGCCCAGGCTGGAGTGCAATGGTGCGGTCTCGGCTCACCGCAACCTCCGCCTCCTGGGCTCAAGCCATTCTCCTGCCTCAGCCTCCAGAGCAGCTGGGATTACAGGCATGCGCCACCACGCCTGGCTAATTTTATATTTTTAGAAGAGACGGGGTTTCTCCATGTTGGTCAGGCTGGTCTCGAACTCTGGACCTCAGGTGATCCACCCGCCTTGGCCTCCCAAAGTGCTGGGATCACAGGCGTGAGCCACCACGCCTGGCCTACAATTTTTTTTTAACTTTTTTTTCTGAGATGGAGTCTCGCTCTTGTCACCCAAGTTGGAGTGCAGTAGTGTGATCTCGGCTCACTGCAACCTCTGCCTCCCTGGTTCAAGGGATTCTCCTGCCTCAACCTCCCAAGTGTGGGAGATCAGTCAGAGTAGCAGAAGAAATTATAGGAATAGGAAGCAGCAAACCTTCTTGGAAGGCCAGGGAGGTTGGCATAGCTTCAGATAGTTTGGCTGAAAGCAGCCAGATTCTCTTTTCAGGAGCCAAACAGCTTAGGGCGCAGATACAAAGGAATGCGGAGTATTTTATCTAAATAGCTTGCTTAGTCATATGGTCCTAAAATCAACCTTTGATCATTCTCGGGCAAGATGGCCCTCTCCAGGGAGGTGGCGGGGGGCGGTGACCAGGTTAATTACCCACAGGTGTGTTGACTCAAAGCCTTTGTTAATTAAATCTGTGCTAAATAAATGCAAGCGTTGCCAGCTTAGAGGGGCTGCACTCTCTTTGGCTCCTAGTGCCGGCAGCCCCCTGGCCTGCTCTTTCACTGAATATTGGTGTCTGAGGACGTGTCTCATCTGTCGTACAGCTGGGATCTGCAGAACAGATCCCCCCCGCACCCAAGAAGCTGGGATTACAGGCACCCGCCGCCATGCCCAGCTCATTTTTGTATTTTTAGTAGAGACAGGGTTTCACCATGTTGGTCAGGCCGGTCTCGAACTCCCGGCCTCAGGTGATCTGCCCGCCTCAGCCTCCCAAAAGTGCTTGGATTACAGGCATGAGCCACTGCGCCTGGCCTTAGAAAACTTCTTTTTCTTTTTTTTTTTTTTTTTTTTTTGAGACAGAGTTTCACTCTGTCGCTACGCTGGTGTGATCTGGGCTCACTGCAATCTCCGCCTCCCAGGTTCAAGTGATTCCCCTGCCTCAGCCTCCCGAGTAGCTGGAACTACAGGTGCGCACCGCCACGCCCGGCTAATTTCTTGTATTTTCGTGGAGACGGGGTTTCACCATGTTGGCTAGGCTGGTCTGTTTCATGCGCGTCCGTGTGAAGAGACCACCAAACAGGCTCTGTGTGAGCAACAAGGCTGTTTATTTCACCTGGGTGCAGGCAGGCTGAGTCCGACAAGAGAGTCAGCGAAGGGGGATAGGGGTGGGGCCGTTTTATAGGATTTGGGTAGGTAAAGGAAAATTACAGTCAAAGGGGGGTTGTTCTTTGGTGGGCAGGAGTGGGGGGTCACAAGGTGCTCAGTAGGGGAGCTTTTGAGTCAGGATGAACCAGAAGAAGGAATTTCACAAGATAATGTCATCAGTTAAGGCAGGAACAGGCCATTTTCATTTCTTTCGTGGTGGAATGTCATCAGTTAAGGCAGGAACCGGCCATCTGGATGTGTACGTGCAGGTCACAGGGGATATGATGGCTTAGCTTGGGCTCAGAGGCCTGACATTCCTGTCTTCTTATATTAATAAGAAAAATAAAACGAAATAGTGGTAAAGTGTTGGGATGGCGAAAATTTTGGGGGGTGGTATGGAGAGAGAATGGGCGATGTTTCTCAGGGCTGCTTCGAGCGGGATTAGGGGCGGCGTGGGAACCTAGAGTGGGAGAGATTAAGCTGAAGGAAGATTTTGTGGTAAGGGGTGATATTGTGGGATTGTTAGAAGAAACATTTTTCATTTAGAATTACTGGTGATGGCCTGGATGCAGTTTTGTATGAATTGAAAAACTAAATGGAATAAGGAAAGGAGAAAAACAGGTATTAAAGGTCTAAGAATTGGGAGGACCTAGGACATCTAATTAGAGAGTGCCTAAGGAGGTTCAGCATAGCCTTGCCAGCAAAGATTATTTATTTACTTCAAGAGTTAAGAGTGGTGGTTTGGGGATAGCACCAGGAGATATCAGCTGTGATGGCTTGGAAAAACAGTGTAAACCAGCAGTGTAAACAAGAGCAGGGCATGTGTGAGTAGTTGAGAATGGTGAATAGGAGTATGACTAGACAGAAGATAGTAGGGATGACAAGTTTTTGGGGGCACATTCCAAGTTGGTCTGGTGTCTGGAATGAGACTGGGGCTTAATAAAAAGGAGCGTCTATACAGGAGCTCAAATGGGCTGTACCCTTTAGCATTCTGAGGACAGGCCTGAATTCTGAGAAAAGAAAGTGGTAAAAGTATTGTCCAGTCTTTTTTAAGTTGGTGGCTGAGCTTGGTGAGGTGTGTTTTTAAAAGACTATTAGTCTGTTCTACTTTTCCTGAAGACTGAGGACTGTAAGGGATATAAAGGTTTCACTGAATACCAAGAGCCTGAAAAACTGCTTGGCTGATTTGACTAATAAAGGCCGGTCTGCTATCAGACTGTATAGAGGTGGGAAGGCCAAACTGTGGAATTATGTCTGACAGAAGGGAAGAAATGACCTCGGTGGCCTTCTCAGACCCTGTGGGAAAGGCCTCTACCCATCCAGTGAAAGTGTCTACCCAGACCAAGAGGTATTTTAGTTTCCTGACTCAGGGCATGTGAGTAAAGTCAATTTGCCAGTCCTAGGCGGGGGCAAATCCCCGAGCCTGATGTGTAGGGAAGGGAGGGGACCTGAGCAATCCCTGAGGGGTAGTAGAATAGCAGATGGAACACTGAGAAGTGGTTTCCTTGAGGATAGATTTCCAGGATGGAAAGGAAATGAGAGGTTCTAAGAGATGGGCTAGCAGCTTGTAACCTACATGGAAGAGGCTATGAAATATCGACCGAATAGAATGGGCCTGTGAGGCTGGAAGGAGGTATTTTCCTTGGTCTAAGAACCATTTGCCTTGTGTGGGAAGAGATTGATGGGTGGAAGTTTCAGTGGGGGAGTAGGTGGGAGTGACTGATGAGAAGGAGAAAAACTGGCTGTGGGGGACAGAAATTGGCATGCTAGCTGCTTGTCTAGCTACCTTATCAGCATAAGCATAGATGTGAGAGACAGAAGTTGGAAAGCTAGCTGCTTGTCTAGCCACCTTGTCAGCATAGGCATTGTCTAGAGCAATGGGATCTGATGACTTTTGATGGCCTTTGCAGTGAATGACTCCAGCTTCCTCTGGGAGTAAAGCGGCCTTGAGCAGAGTTTTTATTAAGGAGGCATTAAAGATGGAGGACCCTTGTGTAGTGAGGAAACCTCTTTCAGCCCATATGACCGCATGGTGGGGCAGAATATGAAAGGCATATTTAGAGTCAGTATAAATATTGATGCATAGTCCTTTTGCATCAGTGAGGGCTTGAGTTAAGGCAACTAATTCGGCTTGCTGAGAGGTAGTGGAGGGGGCAGAGCGGTAGCCTCAATGATAGATGTGGAAGATACTATAGCATAGCCTGCCTTTGCTGGTGAGTGGCGATTAGGCCTGGTGGAACTGCCATCAATAAACTAAATGTGATTAGGGTGAGGAATAGGAAAGAAGGAAATGTGGGGAAATGGGGTGAATGTCAGGTGGATCAGAGAGATACAGTCATGGGGGTCAGGTGTGGTATCCGGAATAATGTGGGAGGCCGGATTGAAGTATGGGCCAGTAACAATGGTAATTGTGGGAGACTCAACAAAGAGTGAGTACAGCTGAAGGAGCCGGGGAGCAGAAAGTATATGCGTCAGGTGTGAGGAAGAAAATAGATTTTTGGAAGTTATGAGAACTGTAGAGAGTGAGTTGAGCATAGTTTGTGATTTTGAGGGCCTCTAAAACTATTAAAGCAGCGGCAGCCGCTGCTCACAGACGTGAGGGCTAGGCTAAAACAGTAAGATCAAGTTGTTTGGACAGAAAGGCTACAGGGTGCGGTCCTGGCTCTTGTGTAAGAGTTCTGACCACGCTAACCATGCCTAGGAAGGAAAGGAGTTGTTGTTTTGTAGAAGGTGCTGGGGTTTGAGAGATCACTAGGACACGATTGGCAGGGAGAGCACGTGTGTTTTTATGAGAATTATGCCGAGATAGGTAACAGAGGAGGAAGAAATTTGGGCTTGACTGAAGTAATGGGGGCTGTCTGTGAAGCCTTGCAGCAGTACAGCCTAGGTAATTTGCTGAGCTTGATCGGTGTCAGGGTCAGTCCAAGTGAAAGCGAAGAGAGGCTGGGATGAAGGGTGCAAAGGAACAGTAAAGAAAGCATGTTTGAGATCCAGAACAGAATAATGGGTTGTAGAGGCAGGTATTGAGGATAGGAGAGTATATGGGTTTGGCACTACGGGGTGGATAGGCAAAACAATTTGGTTGATAAGGTGCAGATCCTGAACTAATGTGTAAGCCTTGTCTGGTTTTAGGACAGGTAAAATGGGAGAATTGTAAGGGGAGTTTATAGGCTTTAAAAGGCCATGCTGTAGCAGGCTTTAATCCTTTTAAAGCATGCTGTGGGATGGGATATTGGCATTGAGCGGGGTAAGGTTGATTAGGTTTTAATGAGATGGTAAGGGGTGCATGATTGGTCACCAAGGAGGGAGTAGAGGTATCCTATACTTGTGGGTTAAGGTGGGGGGATACAAGAGGAGGACACAAAGGAGGCTTTGGATTGGGAAGAAGGGCAGCAATGAGATATAGCTGTAGTCCAGGAATAGTCAGGGAAGCAGATAATTTAGTTAAAGTGTCTCAGCCTAATAAGGGAACTGGGCAGGTGGGGATAACTAAAAAGGAGTGCTTGAAAGAGTATTGTCTAAGTTGGCACCAGAGTTGGGGAGTTTTAAGAGGTTTAGAAGCCTAGCTGTCAATACCTACAACAGTTATGGAGGCAAGAGAAACAGGCCCTTGAAAAGAAGGTAATGTGGAGTGGGTAGCCTCCATATTGATTAAGAAGGGGACGGGCTTACCTTCCACTGTGAGAGTTACCTAGACTGTCTGTGATGGTCCTGTAGGCTTCCGAGGCGATCGGGATCGGGCAGTGTCAGTCTTCAGCTGCTAAGCCGAGAAGATCTGGGAAGGAGTCAGAGAGCCTTGGGCCAGAGTTCTAGCTGCTCTGGGAGTGGCTGCCAGGTGAGTTGAACAGTCCGATTTTCAGTGGGGTCCCGCACAGATGGGATGCGGCTTAGGAGGAATCCCAGGCTGTGGACATTCCTTGGCCCAGTGGCCAGATTTCCAGTACTTGTAGCAAGCTCCTGGGGGAAGAGGTTCTGGAGGAACCCCTGGCAGCTGCGGTTCAGGCGTTTGGAGTTCTCGTGTGCTGGAGATGTGGCTGGGGTTTGTCTCATCTGGATACTGGAGTGGAGGCAAGGAATTGCAACTCAGAAATATGTTGCTATTTGGCTGCCTCTACTCTATTACTGTACACCTTGAAGGCGAGGTTAATTAAGTCTTGTTGTGGGGTTTGAGGGACAGAATTTAATTTTTGGAGCTTTATTTAATGTTGGGAGCAGATTTGGTAATAAAATGTATATTGAGAATAAGACGGCCTTTTGACTTAGGGTCTAGGGCTGTAAAGCGTCTCAGGGTTGCTGCCAAATGAGCCATGAACTGGGCTGTGTTTTTAAATTTGATGAAAAAGAGCCTAAACACTATCTGATTTGGGAGAGGTCAGATAAAGAAAAAGGAGCATTAACCTTGACTATGCCTTTAGCTTCAGCCACCTTTTTAAGAGGAAATTGCTGGGCAGTTGGGGGAGGGCTAGTCATGGAATGGAACTGTAAGCTGGACCGGGTGTGAGGAGGGGAGGTGATAAAAGGATTATAGGGTGGAGGAGCGGAGGCTGAGGAAGAATTGGGACCCAGCTCGGCCTGGCGAGGAGGGGAGATGTCAGATGGGTCTGTAGAAAAGGAAGATTAGAAAGACTCAGCGATGCTTGGGGTTGGGACTGACGGGACAGGCGGGAGGGAAAGAAGGAAGATTTGGGACGAGTTGCACTGGGCATAGAGACTAGGGAGGGACCGATGTGTAAAAGAATGCCTGGATGTCAGGCACCTCAGACCGTTTGCCCATTTTACAACAAGAATTATTTAGATCTTGTAGGATGGAAAAATTGAAAGTGCCGTTTTCTGGCTATTTGGAACCACTGTCAAGTTTGTATTGGGGTCAAGCAGCATTGCAGAAGAAAATAAGGCATTTAGGTTTTAGGTCAGGTGTGAGTTGAAGAGGTTTTAGGTTTTTAAGAACACAGGCTAAGGGAGAAGAAGGAGGAATGGAGGGTGGAAGGTTGCCCATACTGAAGGAGGCAAGCACAGAGAAAAGAGAGAGTAGAGACATGGAGGGAAGGGGTTCAGGGGTTCTTACCTTCCAGAAAAGCGGGAAAGGGGTCAGGGCACAGAAGTAAGGGATTGGGGTGCAGAGACAAGAGGTCGGGGTGTGGAAATAAGGGATCGGGGTGCAGAGATAAGACGTCAGGGCACAGAAATAAGGGATCGGGGGATTCTTGCCCCCTAGAAAAGCGGTACTTGCCACTAAGGGTGAAGGAGAAGGGGTTGGGGGGTTCTTGCCCCCCCAGAAAAGCAGAGAAGGGGTAGAGACACAGAGAAGGAGTTGGGGGTTCTTGCCCCCCCAGAAAAGCAGTACTTGCCACTAAGGGTGAAGGACCAAGGCAGGCATCCCCATGTGGTCAGACACCTCTGAAACGTGGGTGAATAATCAGAGAGGTGTCCCCGCGTGATTAAACACCAAGGGAAGGCTGCCTTCCCGAGTCCATGACCGGCGCTGGAGTTTTGGGTCCACGAATAAAGCGCGTCTCCTGTCTCTACCAGAAAAGGAAAGGAACTGAAATTAAGAGAAGGGAGAGATTGAAGAGTGGAAAGGAGAAAGTGGTTGAGGGATAGTGAGAGAGGTTGGAGAAGAGAGTAAAAAGAGGCTGCTTACTGGATTTAAAATTGGTGAGATGTTCCTTGGGCTGGTTGGTCTGAGGACGAGAGGTCGTAGGTGGATCTTTCTCATGGAGCAAAGAGCAGGAGGACAGGGGATTGATCTCCTAAGGAAGATCCCCTGATTCGAGTTATGGCACCAAATTTCACTCACGTCCGTGTGAAGAGACCACCAAACAGGATTTGTGTGAGCAACAAGGCTGTTTATTTCACCTGGGTGCAGGCGGGCTGAGTCCAGAAAGAGAGTCAGCAAAGGGAGATAGGAGTGCGGCCGTTTTATAGGATTTGGGTAGGTAAAGGAAAATTACAGTCAAAAGGGGGTTGTTCTCTGGCGGGCAGGAGTGGGGTTCACAAGGTGCTCAGTAGGGGAGCTTTTGAGCCGGGATGAGCCAGGAGAAGGAATTTCATAAGATAATGTCATCACTTAAGGCAAGAACAGGCCATTTTCATTTCTTTCGTGGTGGAATGTCATCAGTTAAGGCAGGAACCGGCCATCTGGATGTGTACATACAGGCCACAGGGGGATATGATGGCTTAGCTTGGGCTCAGAGGCCTGACAGTCTGGATCACCTGACCTGGTGATCCGCACACCTCGGCCTCCCAAAGTGCTGGGATTACAGGCATGACCCACTGCACCTGGCCTTAGAAAACTTCTTAAATATTAAAATGTATGTTATGTGTATTTTGCCACAATTTTTGAAAAGTACCTTCTGGTGTTTAGAGACAGAAGATGAGTGGTTGCCTAGGGCCGGGAGAGTGAGGGGATCGTGGTGATGGGCAGCTGGTCGGCATGGGGTTCTGAAGGGCAGTGATGACAACATTCTAAAATTAGACTGTGTTGACGGTTGCACCAACTCCGTGAATACCACAAAATTTAAACCATTGAATTATGCACTTTTAATGGGTAATTGTATGGCATGTAAATTATATCTCAATAAAGTTATATTTTTAAATACCAAAAAAAGGCCGGGTGCGGTGGCTCACGCCTGTAATCCCAGCACTTTGGGAGGCCGAGAAGGGCGGATCACGAGGTCAGGAGATGGAGACCATCCTGGCTAACATGGTGAAACCCCATCTCTACTTTGAAAAAAAAAAAAAAAGATTACCCGGACGTGGTGGTGGGCACCTGTAGTCCTAGCTACTCAGGAGGCTGAGGCAGGAGAATGGCATAAACTCGGGAGGCAGAGCTTGCAGTGAGTCGAGATTGCGCCACTCAGGAGGCTGAGGCAAGAGAATGGCATAAACCCCGGAGGCAGAGCTTGCAGAGAGCCGAGATTGCGCCACTGCACTCCAGCATGGGTGACAGAGCGAGAGTCCATCTCAAAAAAAAAAAAAAAAAAAAAAAAGATTAGTAATATCCTCTGTGTCACTTACCACTTAAGTGATTGAATCACGACTTGAAATTCATCATCTCAAACATGGCTTAGAGTCTGTAGAGGGGGGACAGTCCCAGGAATGCTGGTGTGGGCTTAAGGCTGAATTAAATAGATCCAGATGGCTCACACCTGTAATCCCAATACCTTGGGAGGCCGAGGCAGGTGGGAGGCTGAGGCAGGCGGATCACTGGAGCTCCTGGAGCGAAGAAAGGATGCTAGTGGAAAAACTGGTGAAATCAGAATAAAGTCTATAGTTTTATTTTTTAAAGGAGGCTGGGCGTGGTGGCTCATGCCTCTAATCCCAGCACTTTGGGAGGCTGAGGCAGGTGGATCAGTTGAGTTCAGGAGTTCAAAACCAGCCTGGCCAACTTGACGAAACCCCATCTCTACTAGAAATACAAAAATTAGCTGGGCGTGGTTGTGGGTGCCTCTAATCCCAGCTACTCAGGAAGCTGAGGCAAGAGAATTGCTTGAACCCAGGAGGCGGAGGTTGCAGTGAGCTGAGATCACACCATTGCACTCCAGCCTGGGCTACAGAGCAAGATTCCATCTCCAAATAAGAGAGACATGACAATTAAATAAATTGTGTAATCTTGGATTAAATCCTAAACCAAATATATGTCACTGGTAAAACAAGTGGTGAAATTTGAATAAAGTGGATAGATCAGACAATAGTGTCATATCAGTGCTATTTCTTGACCTTGAACATTAATAACAGAATGTCCTTGGTTTTGGGAAATATAACCTGAAGTGATTAGAGGTTTAGGGCATCATATGCAAATTAGACACACTTTCTTCGGGGAGAGAGGGAGAGGGAGAGAGGCTGAATGATGAAGCAAATGTGGTAAAATGCTAACTTTGGGGAAATCTGGATGAAGAAATTACAGATTTTTTTTTTTTTTATAGACAGGGTAACACTCTGTCACCCAGGCTAGAGTGCAGTGGCACGATCATGGCTCACTGCAGCTTCTACCTCCCTGGGCTCAGATGACCCTCTCACCTCAGCCTCCCAAGTAGCTGGGACTATAGGCGCACAGCACCACACCTGGCTAATTTTTGCATTTTTTTTTCCCCCAGGCTCGTCTCAAGCAATCCACCCACCTCGGCCTCCCAAAGTGCTGGGATTACAGGTGTGAGCCACTGCACCTGGCCAGAAATTCTTTAAACTATTTTTGCAAGTCTGGAATTATGTCAAAATTAAAAGCTCAAAATAATAAAAGACAATATTCTTATATTTCTTTGGTGAAGGTAACTATGTTATGGCTGAGAGGGTGGCTGAGGTCTGAGGATCCAGCCTACATAAGTCTCCTCCATAGAGGGCATCCAAGCGCTCCGTAGGGGGAAGGATAAAGAAAACACCCAGAGTTATGACAGCTGTGTAAGGGGAAACGCCAGCACCGAGTACTGAATCTTCAGTAAATAAGAAGGAGGCGGGCTGGGTGTGGTGGCTCACGCCTGTAATCCCAGCACTTTGGGAGGCTAAAGTGGGCTGATCACTTGAGGTCAAGAGTTCGAGACTAGCCTGGCCAACATGGGGAAACCCTGTCTCTACTAAAAATACAAAAATTAGTCGAGTGTGGTGGCACACGCCTGTAATCCCAGCTACTTGGGAGGCTAGAACAGGAGAATTGCTTGAACCCAGGAGGTGAAGGTTGCAGTGAGCTGAGATTGCACCACTGCACCCCAGCTTGAGGGACAGAGTGAGATTCCGTCTTAAAGAGAAAAAAAAAAGAATTAGCACATTTGTTTGCCTCAAGAAGATACAACTAGTCTTGTACAGTAGTCACATGTATCCACCAGGATATATTCCAAGGCCCCAGTGGATGCTGAAAACTACATAGTACCTTACATGTATATATATATGTATATACATATATACACATATACGTATATGTATACATACATGTATATATACATGTATGTATATACATATATGCATATATACATACATGTATATATACATGTATGTATATACATATATGTATATGTATGTATACACGCATACATGTATGTATACACGCATACATGTATGTATATACATATATGTATGTATACACGGATACATGTATGTATATACATATATGTATGTATACACGCATACATGTGTGTATACATATATATGCATGTATGCATGTGTGTATATATACATATATGTGTATATATACGCATATACATGTATGTGTATATATGCATGTGTATATATACATGTACGGTACTATGCAGTATATATACACATATATGTATATATGTATACATATATGTATAAATGTATATATGTGTATATATATAAAAGGTATATATGTATATATGTGTGTATATATAAAATGCATGAATTTCTTTTTTCTTACTGTAGATCTTAACAACTTCTGCATAGAATTTTTTTTTATTAAGTGGAGAGTTAGTTACTTACTTAAAAGAAATGTTTCTTGGCTGGGTGTGGTGGCTCACACCTGTAATCCCAGCACTTTGAGAGGCCGAGGCAGGAAGATTCACTTGAGGTGAGGAGTTGGAGACCATCCTGGCCAACGTGGTAAAAACCGGTCTCTACTAAAAGTACAAAAATGAGCTGGGCGTGGTGTTGGGTGTCTGTAGTCCCAGCTACTCAGGTGGCTGAGGCAGGAGAATTGCTTGAACCCACAAGGCAGAGGTTGCAGTGAGCTGAGATCACACCACTGCACCACAGCCTGGGCAACAGAGCAAGACTCTGTCTCAAAAAAAAAAAAAAAAAAGAAAGAAAAAGAAAAAGAAAAGAAATGTTTCTTTTCTTATTAAGTTCTTTAAATGAAAAGCTTTTCTTTTCACTTTTATTTTATTGAAACATTATAACACTATCTTTGAAGAAGATAGTGTTATCATTCCATTCTGATGAAACCAATTAACTTATCCAAGCATATGTATACTGTACACAGAGAAGCCAACGTCAAAACCCCTATTTTTATCTTTTTAGATTCAGCAGATACATGTGCAGGTTTTTTATGAGTATATTGCATGATGCTGAGGCTTGCATTAATGATCTAGTCACCAAATAGGTAGATTTTCAAGCCTTGCTCCCCTCCTTACCCAATGTTTAGCGCTCTCACTTATAAGTGAGAACATGTGGTATTTGGTTTTCTTTTCTTTTTTTTTTTTTTTTTTGAGATGGAGTTTCACTCTTGTTGCCCAGGCTGGAGTACAATGGCACCATCTCGGCTCACTGCAACCTTCACCTTCCAGGTTCAAGCAATTCTCCTGCCTCAGCCTCCCGAGTAGTTGGGACTACAGGCATGTGCCACCACACCCGGCTAATTTTGAATTTTTAGTAGAGACAGGGTTTCTGCATGTTGGTCAGGCTGGTCTCGAACTCCCGACCTAAGGTGATCCACCTGCCTCAGCCTCCCAAAGTGCTGGGATGACAGGCCTGAGCCACCGTGTCTGGCCAGTATTTGGTTTTCTGTTTCTGTGTTAACTCGCTTAGGATAATGGCCTCTAGCTGCATCCATGTTGCTGCAAAGGACATAATCTTGTGATTTTTCAAGGCTGTATAGCGTTCTGTGGTGTATACATATCACATTGTCTTTATCCAGTCCACCTCTGATGGGACCTGGGTGGATTCCATGTCTTCACTATTGTGAATCCTGCTGCAATGAACATACAAGTGCATGTGTCTTTTTGGTAGAATGATTTATTTTCCTTTGGCTATATACCCAGCGATGGGATTGCTGGGCTGAATGGTAACTCTGTTTGTAGTTCTCTGAAATATCTCCAAACCAAACTGCTTTCCACAGTGGCTGAACTAATTTACACCCACCAACAGTGTATAAGTGTCCCCTTTGCTCCACAATCTCACCAGCATCTGTTAATTTCTGGCTTTTCAGTAATGGCCATTCTGACTGGTGTGAGATGGTATTGTTGAGGGATAATTTAGGAATCAGAGAGACCGAGGGGTTGAGGAGGATTTATTATTATTATTATTATTTAGGTGCACCGGCCCCAGTCAGATTAACATCCAAAAAGACTGAGGCTCGAACAGAGAGTCCGGTTACCTTTTAAGCATTTTGTGGGGTTGGGGGAGATCTGTGCAGGGGGAAGCATATTACAGAAGCAAGAAACAAAGGCAGTTATTCAATTGAGACATGCATCACATTATTCCTTACTTTTCAAGAAAAATATGTTTTACGACTTGAGGTTATCCTGTCTAGTGACCTTGCAGCCGCACGGCAAGAGAAACAGGGTCTTCACAATGCCTGGGAAAGGGAGAGATAAGGCTCACTAGCCACAGACAGAAAAACAGGCAGTTCATGTTTAAAGGACTCCACCTCTTTCTCTTCCTCGGGGGGAACTGGGTTTTCTTAAATACAACTGAGTTTTTGTTTACACATTCTGTAATTTCTTTTAATTCCTGTTCCAGTATCTCACTGTGAAACTCCCTATGTTTTTATACGATTCTCAGGGGGTTTCCTCTGGGCATGATTGGGCACAACTTCCCACAGTCAGCTCTGGGTACGACCTCCACATTGCAGAATTGAGAAGTTGACCCAGAAATGCATTTTGGGCTGAGCAGACAATTGTCAGAGTTGCTGGCTAGACCACAGATGTGTCAGAGGGACCACGGCCTTTCTGTAAGCTCATGGTCAGAGGCGGAGGGGAGTTGTGAACGTTCTGATGAAAGCAGTCAACGTGAAAGCGCTCTGGTGATGGGCGCTGGTGCTCACCCACCACTTCCTGTGTATCTATCTCCCTGGCCCGCCCGGCTCAGTCCCCACTGCTCAGCACTAGGCCGGCAGAATCTGAGCGATGTCTTCCACACTCCCTGCCCTGCTCTGCGTCGGTGAGTTCTGGCGTGGAAGGGGAATGGGATCACGGTGTGCCTGGGAGGCAACAGGTCTCATTACTCCCGTCTTCCAGGGCTGTGTCTGAGTCAGAGGATCAGCGCCCAGCAGCGTGAGTCCTTCCTTCAAAGCCCAGGGTCACTCTTCCGGATTCAGGCCAAGCTCCTTCCACCCAAGCACGGCTGGGGTGAGGGGACAGGGTGCTGGCTTCCCAGGAGAGCTTGGGGCCAGCAGCTGGGTGGAGCCTAAGGTTGGGGGGAGGGGGCTCCGCTGGAACTCCAGCCTCTGATTCCCTTCCAGAGACTCTCCCAAAACCGTTCATCTGGGCCGAGCCCCATTTCATGGTTCCAAAGGAAAAGCAAGTGACCATCTGTTGCCAGGGAAATTATGGGGCTGTTGAATACCAGCTGCACTTTGAAGGAAGCCTTTTTGCCGTGGACAGACCAAAACCCCCTGAGCGGATTAACAAAGTCCAATTCTACATCCCGGACATGAACTCCCGCATGGCAGGGCAATACAGCTGCATCTATCGGGTTGGGGAGCTCTGGTCAGAGCCCAGCAACTTGCTGGATCTGGTGGTAACAGGTAACTGTCCGGTTCTCTAACTGGAGAGTGATCTCAGTCTGCATCCGGGATGCAGCATCATCTATGAACTCTTCCAAGCCCCACTCAGACACTGCTTGTCTCGGTAGGAGGCTGGAAGGAGGGGTGATCCCCATCACAATCCTTGCCTACAAGGGGTTGTCTGCAGACCGTGTCTCTACGTCCTAGGAGCAGATGTGTCCTCAGTCAGTTTCTCCATGACACAGATTCTGAGATAGATATTTGTATGCAGGGGTATGACTGAGGAATGTCCTCAAAAACAATGCCTGTGGGCCAGGCGCAGTGGCTTACACTTTGCTTCCCTCACCCATCACAGGTGGTGGGTTTTTTTTTTTTTTATCTGTTTTGAGACGGAGTTTCGCTCTTGTCACCCAGGCTGGAGTGCAGTGGTGCAATCTCCAGTCACTGCAACCTCCACCTCCTGGGTTCAAGTGATTCTCCAGCCTCAGCTTCCCAAGTAGCTGGGATCACAGGCACCCACCACTACGCCACATTTTGTATTTTTAGTAGAGATGGGGTTTCACCATGTTGGCCAGGGTGGTGTCGAACTCCTGACCTCAGATGATCCGCCCGCCTCACCCTCCCAAAGTGCTGGGATTACAGGTGTGAGCCATCACACCCAGCCAGGTGGTGGTTTTCTAAAAAAAAAAAAAAATTAGCTTTTTTTTTTTTTTAACAATATGGTTGTTTATTATTATTATCAAGTATTATACATAGTTACATATACATACATAATTGTATGTGCTATACAATTAGGTTTGTTTATACCAGCAACACCAAAAACACATGAGCAATACTTTGTGCTAGGAAGGCTATGATGTCATCAGGCAATAGGAATTTTTCAGTTTCATTATAATCTTATGGGACCACCATCATATATGTGGTACATTGTTGGCCAAAATGTCATTATGCAGCTCACAACAGTATTTCATGTCCATTCAAATATCTTCTTTTGTGAAATGTCTATTTAAATCTTTTGCCTATTTTTAAATTGGGTTGCTTATATTTTGATTGATTAGGAAAAGTTATTTCTATATTCTGTGTCATATACTTGTGTTGAAATATATATATTTTTTGTCTGTGCCTTTTCATTTGCTCAGGGTCTTTGGACCTTGTTTGGAGGTTCTGGCAGGGGAACACAGCTACTCATTTATTCTTTTTTTTTTAATTTTTTTAGTATTTATTGATCATTCTTGGGTGTTTCTCGGAGAGGGGGATTTGGCAGGGTCATAGGACAATAGTGGAGAGAAGGTCAGCAGATAAACATGTGAACAAAGGTCTCTGGCTTTCCTAGGCAGAGGTCCCTGCGGCCTTCCGCAGTGTTTGTGTCCCTGGGTACTTGAGATTAGGGAGTGGTGATGACTCTTAAGGAGCATGCTGCCTTCAAGCATCTGTTTAACAAAGCACATCTTGCACCGCCCTTAATCCATTTAACCCTGAGTGGACACAGCACATGTTTCAGAGAGCACGGGGTTGGGGGTAAGGTCATAGATTAACAGCATCCCAAAGCAGAAGAATTTGTCTTAGTACAGAACAAAATGGAGTCTCCTATGTCTACTTCTTTCTACACAGACACAGTAACAATCTGATCTCTCTTTCTTTTCCCCACATTTCCCCTTTTTCTATTCGACAAAACCGCCATCGTCATCATGGCCCGTTCTCAATGAGCTGTTGGGTACACCTCCCAGACGGGGTGGCGGCCGGGCAGAGGGGCTCCTCACTTCCCAGACGGGGCGGCCGGGCAGAGGCGCCCCCCCACCTCCCAGACGGGGCAGTGGCCGGGCGGGGGCTGCCCCCCAACCTCCCGGACGGGGCGGCTGGCCGGGGCTTTTTTTTTTTTTTTTGAGACAGTCTCGCTGCAGTGCAGTGGTACAATCTCAGCTCACTGCAACCTCTGCCTCAGCCTCAATTCTCCTGCCTCAGCCTCCCAAGTAGTTGAGATTACAGGCATGTGCCACCACACCCGGCTAATTTTTGCATTTTTAGTAGAGACGGGGTTTCACCATGTTGACCAGGCTGGTCTCAAACTCCTGACCCAGGAGGTCGAGGCTTCAGTAAGCAAAGATAGTGCCACGGCGCTCCAGCCTGGGAAACAGAGCAAGACCCTGTATCATTTTTAAAAATGGTTTTAGACGGTAAATCTTCTATTGTGTGTATTTGACCAAAATAATAATTAAAAAAAAAAAAAAAAGCTGGCTGCCAGGCATGGTGGCAGGCCCCTGTAGTCCCAGCTACTTGGGAGGGTGAGGCAGGAGAAACGCTTGAACCCGGGAGGCGGAGGTTGCAGTGAGCCAAGATCGTGTCACTGCACTCCAGCCTGGGCGACAGAGAGAGACTCCATCTCTAAAGAAAGAAAAAAAAAAATAGCTGGCTGCTCATCACTGAGTTTCTGGTGTGGTGGCCCCACCTTCTCTCATAGAAATGTATGACACACCCACCCTCTCGGTTCATCCTGGACCCGAAGTGATCTCGGGAGAGAAGGTGACCTTCTACTGCCGTCTAGACACTGCAACAAGCATGTTCTTACTGCTCAAGGAGGGAAGATCCAGCCACGTACAGCGCGGATACGGGAAGGTCCAGGCGGAGTTCCCCCTGGGCCCTGTGACCACAGCCCACAGAGGGACATACCGATGTTTTGGCTCCTATAACAACCATGCCTGGTCTTTCCCCAGTGAGCCAGTGAAGCTCCTGGTCACAGGTGAGGAAATGCTCAATTCCCCACACCCTTCGCCGCCATGTGCTACCTGGAGCCCTGAGGGATCCCCAGAGAGTGATGGGGAGGGTGTCCAAGGGACGTCCACTTCCTGGGTGCCTGGTTGGTCATGTGAGGAAGAACACCAGAAGCAGGAAGGAGGAGGGAACAGAGAAAGGAATGGTAAGGCGGGTGGATCACAAGGTCAGGAGTTCGAGACCAGCCTGGCCAAGACGGTGAAACCCCGTCTCTACTAAAAATACAGAAATTAGCCAGACGCAGTGGCGGACACCTGTAGTCCCAGCTACTCAGGAGGCTGAGGCAGGAGAATCGCTTGAACCCGGGAGGCGGGGGTTGTAGTGAACCGAGATCATACCACCGCACTGCAACCTGGGCGACAGAGCAAGACTCCATCTCAAAAAAAAAAAAAAAAAAAAAAGAATGGCAAGACCGGAGGAAACCAAAAACCCTTACTTTTTTTTCTTTATCTCCTTTTCCAGGCGACATTGAGAACACCAGCCTTGCACCTGAAGACCCCACCTTTCCTGGTGAGTAACTGGTCCTTCTAAGCTCAGACGAGCGATCAGAGCCTCCCAGTGACACTAAAAACGTGGCATTCATTCAAAATATTCATCGAGGCCAGGCGTGGTGGCTCACGCCTGTAATCCCAGCACTTTGGGAGGCCGAGATGGTGCATCATTTGAGGTCAGGAGTTTGAGACCAGCCTGGCCAACATGGCGAAACCCTGTCTCTACTAAAAATACAAAACTTAGGCTGGGCATCATGGCTCACACCTGTAATCCCAACACTTCGGGAGGCCAAGGTGGTTGGATCACAAGGTCAGGAATTCGAGACCAGCCTGACCAACATGGTGAAACCCCATCTCTACTAAAAATACAAAAATTAGCCGGGCCTGGTGGTGCTCGCCTGTAATCCCAGCTACTCAGGAGGCTGAGGCAGGAGAATTGTTGAACCTGGGATGCAGAGGTTGCAGTGAGCTGAGATCGCGCCACTGCATTCCACTCCACTGCACGACACAGCGAGACTCCATCTCACAGAAAAACAAAAACAAAACTATTATATATATATATTCATCAAGTGCATAGTATACACAGTGAACTACACTGTAACAGTCAGCCAGGCAGATATCTTGACTGTGCAGCACTTAGATTCTAGCAGGAGGAGACACACCATCGGTCAACGTCAGGATAGCACACAGGAGGGAATGATGCTATGGAAGGAAAAGACAAAGTAGAACAGACTTACAGTGATTGAAATGGCAGCTAGCAATATTAAATAGGTTTGTCCAGATGGACCTCACAGAGAAAGAAGGCATCTGAGCAAATGCGTTCAGACTTGAGTTAATCATGTGGCTGTCAGGAGAAAGGAGGCTCTGGAGAGAATGAAATGGCATCTGCCTGTGCCCTGGGGCAGGAAGATAACTGGGGTAATACAATAATAACTATGAGGCCAGGAGGGTTGAAAATGATGTTTGGAAGATGACGGTGGGATGGGCCTGGGGCGCACGGCTAGGATTACAGGAGTGAGGCCCGGCGCGGTGGCTCACGCCTGTAATCCCAGCACTTTGGGAAACCGAGGCAGGTGGATCATGAGGTCAGGAGATCAAGACCATCCTGGCTAACACGGTGAAACCCTGTCTCTACTAAAAAAAAATACAAAAATTATCCGGGCGTGGTGGCGGGCGCCTGTAGTCCCAGCTACGCAAGAGGCTGAGGCAGGAGAATGGCGTGAACCCGGGAGACGGAGCTTGCAGTGAGCTGAGATCGCGCCACTGCACTCCAGCCTGGGCGACAGAGTGAGACTCCGTCTCAAAAAAAAAGAAAAAGAAAAAGAAAAAGAAAAAAAAATAGTGAGACTTTGAATTTCACTATGTGTGAGGAGAAAGAGGTAATGATGACTTAATGAGGAAAATGAGGCTTAAATAGAAGACGGGCTGGGCCGGGTGGCTCCTGCATGTAATCCCAGCACTTTGGAAGGCAGGGGCGGCTGGATCACTTGAGGTCAGGAGTTCAAGACCAGCCTGGCCAACACAGTGAAACCCCATCTCTACTAAAAATACAAACATGAGTTGGGTGTGGTGGCGCACGCCAGTAATTACAGCTACTCGGGGCTGAAGCAAGAGGATTGCTTGAACTCGGGAGGCGGAGGTTGCAGTGAGCTGAGATCACACCACTGTACTCCAGCCTCAGAGGCCTGCCATCCCAGCCCTTTGGGAGGCCGAAGCAGGCAGGTCATCTGAGGTTGGGAGTTCAAGACCAGCCTGGCCAACATGGCAAAACCCCGTTTCTACTAAAAATATGAAAAAAATTACCTGGGTATGTGGTGTGTGCCTGTAGTCCCAGCTACTCCAGAGGCTGGAACACAGTGAGACTCTATCTCAAAAAAAAAAAAAATAGAAGACATGACTGGTGCAAAGACACATGCTCACAAGTGCTAGAATGGAATTC